>NW_025791781.1:300000-464417 GCF_000001405.40 Homo sapiens
GAATGGTAGATCTACTTTTAGTTCTTTAAGGAATATTCATACTGTTTTCCATGAAGGTTGTACTAATTTACATTACCACCAGTAGTGTAAAAGCATTCCTCTTTCATAATATCCATGCCAACATCAATTGTTTTTTGACTTTTTAATAATAAGCCATCCTTGCAAGAGTAGGGTGATGTCTCACTGTGGTTTTAATTTGCATTTCCCGAATGATTAGTGATGTTGAGCATTTCTATCATATATTTGGCGACATTTGTATATCTTCTTTTGAATAATGTCTCTTTATGTCATTTGCCCACATTTTGATGGGATTATTATTTTCTGGCTGATTTCTTTGTGTTTCTTGTAGATTCTGGATAGTCATCCTTTGTCAGATGCATAATTTGTAAATATTTTCTCCCATTCTGTGGGTTATCTGTTTACTCTGATGATTATTTCTTTTGTACTAAAGAAGCTTTTAATTTTAATCAGTTTCCATTTATTTATTTTTGTTTTTGTTGCATTTGTTTTTTGAGTTTTAGTCACAAATTCTTTGCCTAGGCCAATGTCCAGAAAAGTTATTTTCAAGGTTATCTTCTAGAATTTTTATAGTTTTAGGTCTTAAAGTCTTTCATCCATCTTGAGTTGATTTTTGTATAGGATGAGAGACAGGGATCCAGTTTCATGCTTCTGCATGTGGCTAGTGAGTTTTTCCAGCACCATTTATTAAATAGGATGTCCTTTCTCCACTGTATGTTTTTGTATCCTTTGTCAAATATCAGTTAGTTGTAAGTATTTATGTATTTGGCTTTATTTCTGGGTTCGCTATTCTGTTCCATTGCTCTTTGCACCTACTTTTATACCAGTACCATGCTGTTTAGATAACAATGGCCTTGTAGTATAACTTGAAGTCTTGTAATGTGATGCCTCCAGATTTGTTCATTCTGTTTAGGATTGCTTTGGCTATTCAGGCTCTTGTTTGGTTCCATATGAATTTTAGATTTTTTTCTAATTCTGTGAAAAATAATTTTGGTCTTTTAATGGAAATTGTATTGAATCTATAGATTGCTTTGGGCAGTATGATCATTTTTACAGCATTGGTTCCTCCAAGCCATTAGTATGGGATGTTTTTCTGTTTGTGTCATCTGTGATTTCTTTCAGCAGTGATTTATAGCTCTTGTAAAGGACTTTCACCTCCTTGGTTATATATATTTCTAGGTATTTTATTTTATTTTATTTTATTTTATTTTTCACAGCTGTTGTAATAGGGATTGAATTCTTGATTTGATTCTCAACTTGGTCATTGGTGTATAGCAATGCTACTGATTTGTGTACATTGAATTTGAAACTTGAGTATTTACTGAATTATTGATCAAATCTAGGAGTCTTTTGGATGAATCTTGAGGGTTTTCTAGGCATATGATCATATCATCAACAAACAGTTCAACTTCCACTTTTCTAATATGAATGCCTTTTTTTTTTCTTTCTCTTGCCTGATTGCTCTAGCTAGGACTTCAAGTACTATGTTAAACAGAAATGATGAAAGTGGGCATCCTTGTCTTGTTCCAATTCTCTTGGGAAATGCTTTCAACTTTTCCCCATTCTGTATGATGTTGGCTGTGCATTTGTCATATATGGCTTTTATTAATTTGAAGTAAACCCCTTCTATGTCTAGTTTGTTGAGAGTTTTTATCATAAGGAGATGCTGGATATTATCACATGCTTTTTCGCAACCATTAAGATGATCATATGGTTTTTGTTGTTAATTCTGTTTATGTGATGTATCACATTAATTCACTTGCATATGTCAAGCCATTCCTGCACCCCTGGAATAAAACCCACTTCATGATATATTATCTTTCTGATATACTGTTGGATTCGATTAGCTAGTATTTTGCTGGGAATTTTTGCATCTATGTTCATCAGGGATATTGGGCTGTAGTTTTATTTTTATGTTACATCATTTCCTGGTTTTGGTATCAAGATGGTACTGGCTTCATAGAATGATTTATAGAGTCCCTCTTTCTTAATCTGTTGGAATAATTTCATTAGGATTGACATCAATTCTTCTTTCCATGTCTGACAGAGTTCAGCTGTGAATCCATCTGATCCTGGGATTTTTTTTGTTGTTGTTGACAATTTATTTATTTATTTTTATTACTGATTCAGTGTTGCTGCTTTTTGTTGGTCTGTTCAGGGTTTCTATTTCTTCCTGATTTAATCTAGGAGAGTTGTATGTTTCTAGGAATTTATCTATTTCCTCTAGGTCTTCTGGTTTGTGTTTCAAACTAGGAGTCTCAAATGATCTTTTGTATTTCTGTGGTGTTGGTTGTAAAGTCTCTAGTTTCATCTATAATTGAGTTTATTTGTATATTCTCTCTTGTTTCCTTGGTTAATCTGGCTAATGGTTTATCAATCTTTTTTGTCTTTTCAAAGAACCAGTCTTTTGTTTCATTGATCTTTTGTATTTTTTTGTTTCAATTTCATTTAATTCTGCTCTGATATTTCTTATTTCTTTCCTTCTGCTAGATTTGGGTTTAGTGCGTTCTTACTTCTCTAGTTCCTTGAAGTTTGACAGTAGGTTGTCAATTTGTGATCTTTCAGACTTTTTGATATACGCACTTAGTGCTATAAAATTTCCTCTTAGCAGATAAGCTTTTTGACGTGCTGCTGGATTCGGTTTGCCAGTATTTTATTGAGGATTTTTGCATCGATGTTCATCAAGGATATTGGTCTAAAATTCTCTTTTTTGGTTGTGTCTCTGCCAGGCTTTGGTATCAGGATGATGCTGGCCTCATAAAATGAGTTAGGGAGGATTCTCTCTTTTTCTATTGATTGGAATAGTTTCAGAAGGAATGGTACCAGCTCCTCCTTGTACCTCTGGTAGAATTCGGCTGTGAATCCATCTGGTCCTGGACTTTTTTTGGTTGGTAAGCTATTGATTATTGCCACAATTTCAGAGCGTGTTATTGGTCTATTCAGAGATTCAACTTCTTCCCAGTTTAGTCTTGGGAGGGTGTATGTGTCGAGGAATTTATCCATTTCTTCTAGATTTTCTAGTTTATTTGCGTAGAGGTGTTTGTAGTATTCTCTGATGGTATTTTGTATTTCTGTGGGATCGGTGGTGATATCCCTTTTATCATTTTTTATTGTATCTATTTCATTCTTCTCTCATTTCTTCTTTATTAGTCTTGCTAGCAGTCTATCAATTTTGTTGATCTTTTCAAAAAACCAGCTCCTGGATTCATTGATTTTTTGAAGGGTTTTTTTGTGTCTCTATTTCCTTCAGTTCTGCTCTGATTTTAGTTATTTCTTGCCTTCTGCTAGCTTTTGAATGTGTTTGCTCTTGCTTTTCTAGTTCTTTTAATTGTGATTTTAGGGTGTCAATTTTGGATCTTTCCTGCTTTCTCTTGTGGGCATTTAGTGCTATAAATTTCCCTCTACACACTGCTTTGAATGTGTCCCAGAGATTCTGGTATGTTGTGTCTTTGTTCTCGTTGGTTTCAAAGAACATCTTTATTTCTGCCTTCATTTCGTTATGTACCCAGTAGTCATTCAGGAGCAGGTTGTTCAGTTTCCATGTAGTTGAGTGGTCTTGAGTGAATTTCTTAATCCTGAGTTCTAGTTTGATTGCACTGTGGTCTGAGAGACAGTTTGTTATAATTTCTGTTCTTTTACATTTGCTGAGGAGTGCTTTGCTTCCAACTATGTGGTCAATTTTGGAATAGGTGTGGTGTGGTGCTGAAAAGAATGTATATTCTGTTGATTTGGGGTGGAGAGTTCTGTAGATGTCTATTAGGTCCACTTGGTGCAGAGCTGAGTTCAGTTCCTGGGTATCCTTGTTAACTTTCTGTCTCGTTGATCTGTCTAATGTTGACAGTGGTGTGTTAAAGTCTCCCATTATTATTGTGTGGGAGTCTAAGTCTCTTAGTAGGTCTCTGAGGACTTGCTCTATGAATCTGGGTGCTCCTGTATTGGGTGCATATATACTTAGGATAGTTAGCTCTTCTTGTTGAATTGATCCCTTTACCATTATGTAATGGCCTTCTTTGTCTCCTTTGATCTTTGTTGGTTTAAAGTCTGTTTTATTAGAGACTAGGATTGCAAGCCCTACCTTTTTTTGTTTTCCATTTGCTTGGTAGATCTTCCTCCATCCCTTTATTTTGAGCCATGATCAAGTGGGCTTCATCCCTGGGATGCAAGGCTGGTTCAACATACACAAATCAATAAATGTAATCCAGCATATAAACAGAACCAAAGACAAAAACCACATGATTATCTCAACAGATGCAGAAAAGGTCTTTGATTAAATTCAACAATCCTTCATGCTAAAAACTCTCAATAAATTAGGTATTGATGACAAGTATCTCAAAATAATAAGAGCTATCTATGACAAACCCACAGCCAATATCACACTGAATGGGCAAAAACTGGAAGCATTCCCTTTGAAAACTGGCACAAGACAGGGATGCCCTCTGTCACCACTCCTATTCAACATAGTGTTGGAAGTTCTGGCCAGGGCAATTAGGCAGGAGAAGGAAATAAAGGGTATTCAATTAGGAAAAGAGGAAGTCAAATTGTCCCTGTTTGCAGATGATATGATTGTATATCTAGAAAACCCCATTGTCTCAGCCCAAAATCTCCTTAAGCTGATAAGCAACTTCAGCAAAGTCTCAGGATACAAAATCAATGTACAAAAATCACAAGCATTCTTATACACCAATAACAGACAAACAGAGAGCCAAATCATGAGTGAACTCTCATTCACAATTGCTTCAAAGAGAATAAAATACCTAGGAATCCAGCTTACAAGGGATGTGAAGGACCTCTTCAAGGAGAACTACAAACCACTGCTCAATGAAATAAAAGAGGACACAAACAAATGGAAGAACATTCCATGCTCATGGGTAGGAAGAATCAATATCGTGAAAATGGCCATACTGCCCAAGGTAATTTATAGATTCAATGCCATCCCCATCAAGCTACCAATGACTTTCTTCACAGAATTGGAAAAAACTACTTTAAAGTTCATATGGAACCAAAAAAGAGCCCGCATCACCAAGCCAATCTTAAGCCAAAAGAACAAAGCTGGAGGCATCATGCTACCTGACTTCAAACTATACTACAAGGCTACAGTAACCAAAGCAGCATGGTACTGGTACCAAAACAGAGATATAGATCAATGGAACAGAACAGAGCTCTCAGAAATAATGCCGCATATCTAGAACCATATGATCTTTGACAAACCTGACAAAAACAAGCAATGGGTAAAGGATTCCCTATTTAATAAATGGTGCTGGGAAAACTGGCTAGCCATATGTAGAAAGCTGAAACTGGATCCCTTCCTTACACCTTATACAAAAATTAATTCAAGATGGATTAAAGACTTAAATCTTACACCTAAAACCATGAAAACCCTAGAAGAAAACCTAGGCAATACCATTCCGGTCATAGGCATGGCAAGGACTTCATGTCTGAAACACCAATAGCAATGGCAACAAAAGCCAAAATTGACAAATGGGATCTGATTAAACTCAAGAGCTTCTGCACAGCAAAAGAAATTACCATCAGAGTGAACAGGCAACATACAGAATGGGAGAAAATTTTTGCAATCTACTCATCTGACAAAGGGCTAATATCCAGAATCTACAATGAACTCAAACAAATTTACAAGAAAAAAAAAAACAACCCCATCAAAAAGTGGGTGAAAGATATGAACAGATACTTCTCAAAAGAAGACATTTATGCAGCCAAAAGACACATGAAAAAATGCTCATCATCACTGGCCATCAGAAAAATGCAAATCAAAACCACAATGAGATACCATCTCACACCAGTTAGAATGGCAATCATTAAAAAGGCAGGAAACAACAGGTGCTGGAGAGGATGTGGAGAAATAGGAACACTTTTACACTGTTGGTGGGACTGTAAACTAGTTCAACCATTGTGGAAGTCAGTGTGGCAATTCCTCAGGGATCTAGAACTAGAAATACCATTTGACCCAGCCATCCCATTACTGGGTATATCCCCAAAGGGTTATAAATCATGCTGGTATAAAGACATATGCACACGTATGTTTATTGCAGCAGTATTCACAATAGCAAAGACTTGGAACCTACCCAAATGTCCAACAATGATAGACTGGATCAAGAAAATGTGACACATATACACCATGGAATACTATGCAGCCATAAAAAATGATGAGTTCATGTCCTTTGTAGGGAGATGGATGAAACTGGAAACCATCATTCTCAGCAAACTATAGCAAGGACAAAAAAACCAAACCCCGCATGTTCTCAATCATAGGTGGGAATTGAACAATGAGAACACATGGACACAGGAAGGGGAACATCACACACCAGGGACTGTTGTGGAGTTGGGGGAGGAGGGAGGGATAGCATTAGGAGATATACCTAATGCTAAATGACGAGTTAATGGGTGCAGCACACCAACATGGCACATGTATACATATGTAACAAACCTGCACATTGTGCACATGTACCCTAAAACTTAAAGTATAACAAAAAAAATTTCGTCTTTTTTTATAATAAAAAAAATTTCCTGCTTTTGCTGTATACCAGAGGTTTTGATTACTTGTGTCACTATTATCATTCATTTCAAATAACTTTTGAATTTCCACCTTGATTTCATCATGAAACCAAAAATCATCAAGGAGAAGTTTGTTTAATTTTCCTGTATATGTATAGTTTTGAGGGTTCCTTTTGGGGTTGATTTCTAGTTTTATTCCACTCTTGTGTGAGAAGACACTTGATATGAGTTTAATTTTTAAAAGTTTATTGAGATTTGTTTTGTGACCTATCATATAGTCTGTCTTGGAGAATGTTCTACGTTCTGATGAGAAGAATGTATATTCTGCAGTTCTTGGGTAGAATGTTCTGTAAATATCTATTAGGTCCATTTGTTCTGGAATGTAGTTGAAGCCCATTATTTCTTTGCTAACTTTCTGTCTTGATGGTCTGTCTAGTGCTATTTAAGATTGTGATATCTTCTTGTTGGACTGATCCTTTTATCATTATATAATGACTTTCTTTGTCTTTTTTTACTGTTGTTGTTTTAAAGTTTGTTTTATCTGATAAAAGAATAGCTACTCCTGCTCACTTTTGGTCTCCATTTGTGAGCAGGAGTAGCTATTTTCCTGCTTTTTCCACCCTTTTACCTTGAGTTTATAGGAATTCTTACATGTTAGTTGAATCTCTTGAAGACGGCAGATATTTGGTTTGTGATTCTTTATCCATTCTGTCAGTCTACACCTTTTAAGTGGAGCATTTAGGTCATTTATATTTAACATTAATATTGACATGTGAGATATTGTTCCATTTATCATGTTAAATTTTGTCTAGATGCTTTGTTTTTTTTATCATGTCTTTTTTTATAGGCATTGTGAGTTTAATGCTTTCAAGAGATTCCATTTTTGTGTATATCAAGCTTTTGTTTCAAGATTTAGAACTCCTCTTATCATTCCTTGTAGGAATGACCTGGTAATAAATTTCCTCAGCATTTCTTTGTCTGAAAATGACTTTATATCTCCTTTGTTTATGAAAGTTGGTTTGGCTGGCTACAAAATTCCTGGCTGACAGTTATTCTGTTTAGGGAGGCTAACAATAGGACTCCTATCCCTTCTGGCTTGTAAGGTTTCTGCTGAGAAGTCTGCTGTTAGTCTCTGATATGTTTTACTTTATAGGTTACCTGATGCTTTTGTCTCACGGCTTTTAGACTTATTTCCTTCATGTTGACTTTTTATAGCCTGTTGACTATGTCTTGGTGATCATCTTTTTCTAATGAGTCTCACAGGAGTTCTTTGAGCTTCTTATATTTGAATATCTAAATCTCTAGCAAGATCAGGGAAGTTTTCCTCAATTATTCACTCAAATAAGTTTTCCAAACTTTTTGCTTTTTCTTCTCCCTCAGTAACACCAATTAATTTTAGGTTTAACCATTTTACATAATCTCACATTTGTTGGAAACTTTGCTCCTTTCTTTTGATTCTTTTAATTTTTGTCTGATTGGGTCAATTCAAAAGTCTTTTCTTCTAGCTCAGAAATTCTTTCTTCTACTTGTTTTAGTTTATTGTTGAAACTTTCCACTGCATTTTGTAATTTCCTATGTCTTTCATTTCTGGAATTTCTGATTGGTTTTGCTTTAAGATATCTATCTCTTTTGCAAATTTTTCATTCATATCTTGAATTTTTTTTTTAAAAAGCAGGTTTTCACTTTCTTTTGTTATCCCCTTGAGTAGCTTAACAATCAACCTTAAAAATTCTTTATCTGGTATTTCAAATATTTCATTTTGGTTTGTATTTATTGCTGCAGGGCTGGTGTAATCTTTTGGGGTTGTTATAGAACCCTTTCTTGTCATATTACTAAAATTATTTTTTCTGATTTCTTCTTACATGTGTAGACTATTTCTTCTAATTAGTCTGAATGTATTTTGTATTTAATTGCGGGTTTTAAAAATTTTCTTGTCCCCACCCCCAAGAATGTGACTTTCATATTTATAGTTTATTGTAGCCTAATTTGGCTCTTGGTTCCTTCAGGGGTGAAGACTCTATATAAGTTCCTTGGTTATAGAGAGTTTTCGTATGATGGATGATGATTGTAGTAACAATGTGCTCAGTGTATGAACAAGTTCACTGTTTTCTATAGGGTTGCAATGGCAGAAATCTCTTGAAGCTTAACTCATTCCCCTATTTTGTGTACTTATTAATTTATTTATTTGTTCCCCAGTATTTTATTTACTGGGTTGACTATTTCAGGCCAATAAGGGGTATGTCCATGGGTAAAAACTGGCTATGGCTAAAGTAGATGGGTAAATGCAATACCCAATGGTGGGCAGAGGTCCCAGCCTTGACAGAGGTGGCTAGGGAAGCTCTCAGCAAAATGCACTGAGGTCTTTTAAGAGGGAAGGACTGGATCTACCTCAGCTTCCCTACCAGGGCAGCAGAAAAGCTATCCATCACCTAGACACACTCTTCACCTAGTGTTCCAGCTATTCAGATTAGACAGTCACATATTTTTATCTGCAGGAATGTTGATGTTCCAAGTAGAGAGGAATTGTGACTCTACCTCTCATGCAAAGCAACCTGCATTTGGAGGTTGCTCCTTCTGTGGGGATGATGTCACCCTGAAGGGTTCCAGAAAGGCTGTCTCTAAGTGCACCCATGCTGAGCTCTTGGAAAAAACCACAGCTGTGTCCACAGTGGTGGATAAGGGAGAAAAAAGTTTCCTTCTCCAAGACCCTTCACAAGCACCAGGACTGCCTGAGTGTTGGGGTAGAGCTCCTGGGCTGCAGACATTCCCCACTGAGCCTGGCACTGCAACTATGCCTCTCCTGAAAGAAACTTCCCACCAGGAGAAAGATCTGGGACTCAAGTCCTGCTGTTTGGATTATTTTGTCCCAGGCATGTTCCCTTGATGTGGTACCCTCCCCATTCCTCTAGGAGTGGGAATCCCTGAGAGCCCTACTACTGTGAATGCCATTGCTCCCCTGAGTCTAGCTACCCAGTGAAGTTGCCATACTCCAGGCTAGTCCTGGGGAATGTCTACAAGGGATGTGGTGATGTACATGTCCTTAATATCCCCCAGCAACTGGTACCAGCACCAGCCCTAATGGTGGTGGCAGGGGAGTGACAGAGACTGTGAGACTCCTTGGTTATAGGTAGCCTTAGTGTGCTGGCTTTCTCAGTTGTGCGTTGTAGTGGTGATGAACTGGTCATGTGGACAGACTCAGGACCTCCTGGTTGGCCAGGGTGATGCAGGCAATGGCGATAGCAGAAGTTGCACATGAGTTTTCTTCTTTCTGGGAACAGTGTTATTCTACTTGAAGATGCTATAATGGACTACACAGTCCATTTGGTTGGCTGGTTGGCCTCCAGCCAGGAGGTGGTACTTACAAAAGAACACAAGCTACAATGATAGTTATGGGATTTCTGGTTGCCTTATGTTACCCTGGGGAGGTACTCTGGTTTCTCAGGTGATGAGCAGGGCTATAAAGCTCCCGAAAGATTCTATCCTTTGTGTTAAGCTACCATGGTGGTTAGAGGGGCAAAGCCAGATGGGGGCTGGGTCAGGCAGGTTTGTACCCTGGCTCTCTGCCTGTGGGGCAATCAGCAACTCCTATGGGAGTTACAAGGCAGTTATCTGACCACTGTCGTAATGTTTTATAGAGGAACATAGCTGCTTCTGCTGAACAGAAGAGTTCATGCAGGCAGTTTGTAGTAGCAGGTGGCAGTAAGCCTCACCCAGCTCCCAGATACTTGACAAGGCAGGTCTCACACCAGTAGTTTTCCACCTGCAGCAGAAAGCTAAGTTGCAGGCTGTCTACACTCATAATTCACAACTGCCCAGGCCATAAACTTTCTTCACAGAGATAGCAACCACAGGTTTCAGGCCATGCCCCTCCCAATCCACCCACACAGCTAGGACACCCAGCTCCTGGCTGCAGCATACTTCCCTCCCACTCATTCCTTGGTTCTGGCCAAGGGAGTGCTCTCCATTCAAGGCTATACTGTGGAATTCAGCTGGGGACTTTTTTCAACCTGTGATTGCTGTCTGAGTTAGTTGGGAGACATTTATGAGGTTCCTGTGAGGCATAATAAGGAATGGCTTCTCTTGGTCTATGTTGGACACTGGAAATGCATGTGAGGCTCTTCCTGCTGCCACTTCCACTTTTAGATTCCTCACCACTCTCTAAATCAGTTCTAGTGCTGGGTAGGGCTTTCCCCCATGGCCTGGTTTTCCAGGTTCTCCTTTGAGGGTGTATATCCTGGAGGCAGTCTCTCCCTCTCTCAAACTCTGGGACTTACAGTTTTTCTCCCGGCTCAAGATATAGGCGAAGCCTGCAACTTCTTTCAAAGTGTCTCTGGATTTCAGTTTTCCTGTTATGTTCCTGCATTGCTTCTTGGAACAAAAGTTCACAGTTAAATATCTAAAACCTACTTTTTCTTCCCAAGTGGGAGAGGCCTGCTGACGCTCCCTCTAATCCAACATCTTGGACTGGCAAAGAGTTAAGGCCTTAATGACGTAGGTAAATGTAACAATCTTTTAATTTGTGTTTATTTCTTGTTAAGTTCTTTCAAAATATTTACCTACTGATTGATCAAAAACTATTCTACATTACTTGTTAAGCTTTATTATTTTTTCTTTACTATATTGCTATAACCAATGTGGAATTGCTATTTGTGTATGGTGTGTGATAAAGAGCATTTTATAATCATCTATATATATAGATATCCAACATGACAGCATCATTTAATGAAAAATGTCCTTTTTTTACTGCTCTGCAGTGACTTTTTTTACACAAATCTATATTTATGCATAATGTAAATTTTCTTTTTTTTTTATTATACTTTAAGTTTTAGGGTACATGTGCACAATGTGCAGGTTAGTTACGTATGTATACATGTGCCATGTTGGTGTGCTGAACTCATTAACTTGTCATTTAATATTAGGTATATCTCCCAATGCTATCCCTCCCCTCTCCCCCGACCCCAGAACAGGCCCCAGTGTGTGATGTTCCCTTTCCTGGGTCCATGTGTTCTCATTGTTCAATTCCCACCTATGAGTGAGAACATGCAGCATTTGGTTTTTTGTCCTTGCGATAGTTTGCTGAGAATGATGGTTTCTTCCAGCTTCATCCATGTCCCTACAAAGGACATGAACTCATCATTTTTTATGGCTGCATAGTATTCCATGCTGTATATGTGTCACATTTTCTTAATCCAGTCTATCATTGTTGGACTTTTGGGTTGGTTCCAAGTCTTTGTTATTGTGAATAGTGCTGCAATAAACATACATGTGCATGTGTCTTTATAGCAGCATGATTTATAATCCTTTGGGGATATACCCAGTAATGGGATGGCTGGGTCAAATGGTATTTCCAGTTCTAGATCCCTGAGGAATCACCACACTGACTTCCACAATGGTTGAACTAGTTTACAGTCCCACCAACAGTGTAAAAGTGTTCCTATTTCTCCACATCCTCTCCAGCACCTGTTGTTTCCTGCCTTTTTAATGATCGCCATTCTAACTGGTGTGAGATGGTATCTCATTGTGGTTTTGATTTGCATTTCTCTGATGGCCAGTGATGATGAGCATTTTTTCATGTGTCTTTTGGCTGCATAGATGTCTTCTATTGAGAAGTGTCTGTTCATATCCTTTGCCCACTTTTTGATGGGGTTTGTTTGTTTTTTTCTTGTAAATTTGTTTGAGTTCATTGTAGATTCTGGATATTAGCCCTTTGTCAGATGAGTAGATTGCAAAAATTTTCTCCCATTCTATATGTTGCCTGTTCACTCTGATGGTAATTTCTTTTGCTGTGCAGAAGCTCTTGGGTTTAATTAGATCCCATTTGTCAATTTTGGCTTTTGTTGCCATTGCTTTTGGTGTTTTAGACATGAAGTCCTTGCCCATGCCTATGTCCTGAATGGTATTGCCTAGGTTTTCTTCTAGGGTTTTTATGGTTTTAGGTGTAAGTCTTTAATCCATCTTGAATTAATTTTTGTATAAGGTGTAAGGAAGGGATCCAGTTTCAGCTTTCTACATATGGCTAGCCAGTTTTCCCAGCACCATTTGTTAAATAGGGAATCCTTTCCCCATTTCTCGTTTTTGTCAGGTTTGTCAAAGATCATATGGTTGTAGATATGCGGCATTATTTCTGAGGGCTCTGTTCTGTTCCATTGATCTATATCTCTGTTTTGATACCAGTATCATACTGTTTTGGATTCTGTAGCCTTGTAGTATAGATTGAAGTCAGGTAGCATGATGCCTCCAGCTTTGTTCTTTTGGCTTAAGATTGACTTGGCTGTTGCGGAAAGTCAGGGACCCCAAACGGAGGGACCGGCTGAAGCCATGACAGAAGCATGTGGATTGTGAAGATTGTATGGACATTTATTAGTTCCCCAAATTAATACTTTTGTAATTTCTTATGCCTGTCTTTAATGCAATCTCTAAACAGAAATTGTAAAGATTTCATGGACAATTATCACTTCCCCAATCAATATGCTTGTGATTTCCTATGCCTGTCTTTACTTTAATCTCTTAATCCTGTCAGCCGAGAAGGATGTATATCATCTCAGGACCCTGTAATAATTGGGTTAACTACACAAATTGTACAGCATGTGTGTTTGAGCAATATGAAATGTGGGCACCCTGAAAAAAGAACAGGATAACAGCAATTGTTCAGGGAATAAGAGAGAGAACCTTAAACTCTGACCGCCAGTGAGCCGGGCAGAACAGAGCCATATTTCTCTTCTTTGAAAAGCAAAAGGGAGAAATATCGCTGAATTCTTTTTCTCAGCATGGGATATCCCCGAGAAAGAGAATGCGCACCTAGGGGTAGGTCTCTGAACTGGTCTCTTATGGTCGAGTTTGCAGAGGTGAAATAAACTCCAGTCTCCCATAGTGCTCCTAGGCTTATTAGGAAGAGGAAATTCCCGCCTAATGAATTTTGGTCAGACCAGTTGATCTCAAAACCCTGTCTCCTGATAAGATGTTATCAATGACAATGGTGCCCAAAACTTCATTAGCAATTTTAATTACGCCTCCATCCTGTGGTCCTGTGATCTCCCCCTGCCTCCACTTGCCTTGTTAGATTCTATTACCCTGTTAAGTACTTGATATCTGTCACCCACACCTATTCGTATACTCCCTCCCCTTTTGAAACTGCCTAATAAAAACTTGCTGGTTTTTGTGGCTTGTGGGGCATCACGGATCCTACCAACGTGTGATGTCTCCCCCGGACGCCCAGCTTTAACATTTCTCTCTTTTGTACTCTGTCCTTTTATTTCTCAAGCCAGCCGACGCTTAGGAAAATAGAAAATAACCTACGTGATTATCAGGGCAGGTCCCCTGATACTTGGCAATGCAGGCTCTTTTTTGGTTCCATATGAACTTTAAAGTAGTTTTTTCCAATTCTGTGAAGAAAGTCGTTGGTAGCTTGATGGGGATGGCATTGAATCTATAAATTACCTTGCGCAGTATGGCCATTTTCATGATATTGATTCTTCCTACCCATGAGCATGGAATGTTCTTCCATTTGTTTGTATCCTCTTTTATTTCATTGAGCAGTGGTTTGTAGTTCTCCTTGAAGAGGTCCTTCACGTCCCTTGTAAGTTGGATTCCTAGGTATTTTATTCTCTTTGAAGCAGTTGTGAATGGGGGTTCACTCATGATTTGACTCTCTGTTTGTCTGTTATTGGTGTATAAGAATGCTTGTGATTTCTGCACATTGATTTTGTATCCTGAGACTTTGCTGAAGTTACCTATCAGCTTAAGGGGATTTGGGGCTGAGACGATGGGGTTTTCTAGATATACAATCATGTTATCTGCACACAGGGACAATTTGACTTCCTCTTTTCCTAATTGAATACCCTTTATTTCCTTCTCCTGCCTGATTTCCCTGGCAAGAACTTCCAACACTTTGTTGAATAGGAGTGGTGAGAGAGGGCAACCCTGTCTTGTGCCAGTTTTCAAAGGGAATGCTTCCATTTTTGCCCATTCAGTATGATATTGGCTGTGGGTTTGTCATAGATAGCTCCTATTTTGTTGAGATACGTCCCATCAATACCTAATTTATCAAGAGTTTTTAGCATGAAGGTTGTTGAATTTTGTGAAAGGCTTTTTCTGCATCTATTGAGATAATCATTTGGTTTTTGTTGTAGGCTCTGTTTATATGCTGGATTACATTTATTGATTTGCATATGTTGAACAAGCCTTGCATCCCAGGGATGAAGCCCACTTGATCATGGTGGATAAGCATTTCGATGTGCTGCTGGATTCAGTTTGCCAGTATTTTATTGAGGATTTTTGTATCGATTTTCCTCACGGATATTCGTCTAAAATCCTCTTTTTTTGTTGGGTCTCTGCCAGTCTGTTGTGTCAAGATGATGCTGGCCTCATAAGATGAGTTAGGGAGGATTCCCTCTTTTTCTATTGATTGAAATAGTTTCAGAAGGAATGGTACCAGCTCCTCCTTGTACCTCTGGTAGAATTCGGCTGTGAATCCATCTGGTCCTGGACTTTTTTTTGGTTGGCAGGCTACTAATTATTGCCTCAATTTCGGAGCCTGTTATTGTTCTTTTCAGAGATTCAACTTCTTCCTGGTTTAGTCTTGGGAGGGTGTATGTGTCAAGGAATTTATCCATTTCTTCTAGATTTTCTAGTTTATTTGTGTAGAGGTGTTTATAGTATTCTCTGATGGTAGTTTGTATTTCTGTGGGATCAGTGGTGATATCCCCTTTATCATTTTTTAGTACGTCTATTTGATTCTTCCCTCTTTTCTTCTTTATTAGTCTTGCTAGTGGTCTATCAATTTTGTTGATCTTTTCAAAAAACCAGCTCCTGGATTCATTGATTTTTTGAGGGTTTTTTTTGTGTCTCTATTTCCTTCAGTTCTGCTCTGATCTTAGTTATTTCTTGCCTTCTGCTAGCTTTTGAATGTGTTTGCTCTTGCTTCTCTAGTTCTTTTAACTGTGATGTTAGGGTGTCAATTTTAGATCTTTCCTGCTTTCTCTTGTGAGCATTTAGTGCTGTAAATTTCCCTCTACACACTGCTTTGAATGTGTCCCAGAGATTCTGGTATGTTGTCTGTGTTCTCGGTAATTTCAAGGAACATCTTTATTTCTGCCTTCATTTCGTTATGTACCCAGTAGTCATTCAGGAGCAGGTTGTTCAGTTTCCATGTAGTTGAGTGGTTTTGAGTGAATTTCTTAATCCTGAGTTCTAGTCTGATTGCACTGTGGTCTGAGAGACAGTTTGTTATAATTTCTGTTCTTTTAATTTGCTGAGGAGTGCTTTACTTCCAACTATGTGGTCAGTTTTGGAATAGGTGTGGTGTGGTGCTGAAAAAAATGTATATTCTGTTGATTTGGGGTGGAGAGCTCTGTAGATGTCTATTAGGTCCACTTGGTGCAGAGCTGAGTTCAATTCCTGGATATCCTTGTTAACTTTCTGTCTCATTGATCTGTCTAATGTTGACAGTGGTGTGTTAAATTCTCCCATTATTATTGTGTGGGAGTCTAAGTCTCTTTCTAGGTCTCTAAGGACTTGCTTTATGAATCTGGGTGGTCCTGTATTGGGTGCATATACATTTAGGATAGTTGGCTCTTCTTGTTGAATTGATCCCTTTACCATTATGTAATGGCCTTCTTTGTCTCTTTTGATCTTTGTTGGTTTAAAATCTGTTTTATCAGAGACTAGGATTGCAAGCTCTGCCTTTTTTTGTTTTCCATTTGCTTGGCAGATCTTCCTCCATCCCTTTATTTTGAGCTTATGTGTGTCTCTGCCCATGAGATGGGTTTCCTGAATGCAGCACATTGATGGGTCTTGACTCTTTATCCAATTTGCCAGTCTGTGTCTTTTAACTGGAGCATTTAGCCCATTTACGTTTAAGGTTAATGTTGTTTTGTGTGAATTTGATCCTGTCATTATGATCTTAGCTGGTTATTTTGCCCATTAATTGATGCAGTTTCTTCCTAGCCTCGATGGTCTTTACAATTTGGCATGTTTTTGCAGTGGCTGGTACCGGTTTTTCCTTTCTATGTTTAGTGCTTCCTTCAGGAGCTCTTTTAGGGCAGGTCTGATGGTGACAAAATCTCTCAGCATTTGCTTGTCTGTAATGGATTTTATTTCTCCTTCACTTATGAAGCTTAGTTTGGCTGGATATGAAATTCTTGGTTGAAAATTCTTTTCTTTAAGAATGTTGAATACTGGCCCCCACTCTCTTCTGGCTTGTAGAGTTTCTGCCTAGAGATCAGCTGTTAGTCTGATGGGCTTCCCTTTGCGGGTAACCCGGCCTTTCTCTCTGGCTACACTTAACATTTTTTCCTTCATTTCAACTTTGGTGAACCTGACAACTATGTGTCTGGGAGTTGCTCTTCTCAAGGAGCATCTTTGTGGCATTCTCTGTATTTCCTGAATTTGAATGTTGGCCTGCCTTGCTAGATTGGGGAAGTTCTCCTGGATAATATCCTGCAGAGTGTTTTCCAACTTGGTTCCATTCTCCCCATCACTTTCAGGTACACCAATCAGGCATAGATTTGGTCTTTTCACACAGTCCCATATTTCTTGGAGGCTTTGTTCGTTTCTTTCTATTCTTTTTTCTCTAAACTTCTCTTCTCACTTCATTTCATTCATTTCATCTTCCATCACTGATACCCTTTCTTCCAGTTGATCAAATCGGCTACTGAGTCTTGTGCATTCATCACGTAGTTCTTGCGCCATGGTTTTCAACTCTATCAGGTCCTTTAAGGACTTCTCTGCATTGGTTATTCTAGTTAGCCATTCATCTAATCTTTTTTCAAGGTTTTCAACTTCTTTGCCATGGGTTTGAACTTCCTCCTTTAGCTTGGAGTAGTTTGATCATCTGAAGCCCTCTTCTCTCAATTCGTCAAAGTCATTCCCTGTCCAGCTTTGTGCATTCCTTTGGAGGAGGAGAGGCTCTCTGATTTTTAGAATTTTCAGTTTTTCTGCTCATTTTTTCCCCATCTTTGTGGTTACATCTACCTTTGGTCTTTGATAATGGTGGCATACAGATGGGGTTTTGGTGTGTATGTCCTTTCCGTTTGTTAGTTTTCCTTCTAACAGTCAGGACCCTCAGCTGCAGGTCTGTTGGAGTTTGCTAGAGGTCCACTCCAGACCCTGTTTGCCTTGGTATCAGCAGCAGAGGCTGCGGAACAGCAGATATTGGTGAACAGCAAATGTTGCTGCCTGATCGTTCCTCTCGAAGTTTTGTCTCAGAGGAGTACCCGGCCATGTGAGGTGTCAGTCTGCCCCTACTGGGGAGTGCCTCCCAGTTAGGCTACTCGGGGGTCAGGGACCCACTTGAGGAGGCAGTCTTTCTGTTCTCAGATCTCCAGCTGTGTGCTGGGAGAACCACTATTCTCTTCAAAGCTGTCAGACAGGGACATTTAAGTCTGCAGAGGTTTCTGCTGCCTTTTGTTTGGCTATGCCCTGTCCCCAGAGGTGGAGTCTACAGAGGCAGGCAGGCCTCCTTGAGCTGCGGTGGGCTTCACCCAGATCGAGCTTCCTGGCCGCTTTCTTTACCTACTCAAGCCTCGGCAACAGCAGGCGCCCCTCCCCTAGCCTCGCTGCCACCTTGCAGTTTGAAATCAGACTGCTGTGCTAGCAATGAGCGAGGCTCCGTGGGTGTATGACCCTCTGAGCCATGTGCAGGATATAATCTCCTGGTGTGCCGTTTGCTAAGACTGTCAGAAAAGCGCAATATTAGGGTGGGAGTGATCCAATTTTCCAGGTGCCATCTGTCACCCCTTTCCTTGGCTAGGAAAGGGAATTCCCTGACCCCTTGCACTTCCCGGGTGAGGTGATGCCTCGCCCTGCTTTGGTTCAGGCCCGGTGCACTGCACCCACTGTCCTGCACCCACTGTCTGACAATCCCCAGTGAGATGCACCAAGTACCTCAGTTGGAAATGCAGAAATCATTCATCTTCTGCATTGCTCATGCTGGGAGCTGTAGACTGGAGCTGCTCCTATTCGACCATCTTGGCTCCACCCCCTGGAGAAATCTTCTATGCAGAAAAATTCCAAATGCATACTCCCTCTTCTTAAGTGTGGGCTGACCATGGTGACTTCTTTCAAAGAGTACGATATAGAAAATTAATTGTTTTTAAAATGTTACTATGCAGAGAAGAGAACTGACAAGAACTGCTTCAAGCTAGGTGATAAAGTTTAGCACCAGCAATCATGAATCATATTGATAAGAGGTATTCTTGATACAATGTGATGAAGATGACATTTTTTTCTCTGTTCTTCCTCCAATAAACACATTAGCCCAGTGTAATCATGAGAAAAACATCAGACAAATTTCATTGTAGGGACATTCTACAAAATACCTGACCATTACTCCTCAAAACTGTCAAAGTAATCAAATACAAGAAAAGTCTGAGAAATTGTCATAGTCAAGAGAAGCTTAATGACACATGATGACTAAATGTTATGTGGCATCCTAGGTGGGACCCTATAACAGAAAAAGGACATTGTGAAAAAGGCTGAGGAAATCTGAATAAAGTAAGGAATTTTAATTAAAATTAAATAGCAGTCCATTAGTTGTGACAAATGTATCATCCTTATATAAGATGTTACTACTGGGGGAAGTTGGTATAGGGTATATGGAAACTCTCTCTACTATCTTTACAATAATTTTGCAAATCAAACCTTTTTTAAAAAAATTAATAAAAAACAAAAAACAGAGTAACTGGGAGAGTGAGCAATAGGACATACTATTAATGTTGAGTCGTCAAGAAGGTCCTTGACAATAGGGTGGCGTTTGAACAAAGTGCTTAGAGGAACCAATGGATGGTTATTAGTGAACAAGCACACAAAATCTGAGTTACATTTTCAGGAGGACACTCACACAGCTGATGGGAGGAGGTGGCAGAAGGGGTAGGACCACAGGGTTTACAGCAGGGCACCCAGTGAGGAGGTTACTTGGATAATCCAAACAAGAGATAGCATCAGCCTGCACCAAGGTAGTGACTTTAGTGGTAAGAAGAAATTCTCAGATTTTTAGTGTATTTGAAGGTAAAACCAACAGGCTTTGCTTATGTTTTGGATATAGAATGTGAGGGAAAAGAGTCAAGGATGACTCAATAGATAATTGAGCCAAACAATTGGTGAATGGGTGTTTTCTGGCCTGAGATGAGGAGCATGCCCAGAGAAGCTCTTTGGAATGGAGATTATTAGAATATAAAAGGAAGGCTGATTTGCACCAGAAGTTGAGGAGCCTTTCTGATCATGAACATAAGGAACGAACCCATAAAGTAAAATATTGATATCTTTGACTAGTTAAATTAAAAATTAATATTGGACCCCCCCATTGAAAGGTAAACAAATTGTAAAACATTTGCAACACTTTGATAGAAGCAAAATCTTGCATTCCCCCCATAATCCATGTTTTTTTTTCTTTTTCTTTTATACACCTTTGTTTTCTTAGGATTGCACTGTTTCACCCAGTGCTGACAAATGAGATTTTGTACAGAGGCTTGAGACCACAGGCTCTCCTAATTTGTAGCTGCTTGTGAGAGAATCTCAGAACAGACAGGACAGAAAAAAGAGTTGTTGATTCTGCTGGTTGAAATAGGATTTTAAATAATGAAAGCACACTGAAAGAAAAAATTTAATAGAATTTAAAAAATGAAGCATTACATATATAAGACTATTCTTTTTCAGCATGTAATAATCATAAAATACTTATCCTTGAATCGTTAATCTTTAAGGGAATTTTCCCCTTAATCATGATGAGTAATATTCAAATTTATAAATTTGTGTATATATTAGAAGATATATAGATGACAGTTTTTCTTCTCTAATTAAGAGAATCTTATCTTTTCTTCTCCTCCATTATGACAAGAAAAGAAATAAATTGATGCTGCCTTGTTTTAAAATAATAGGTATGCATGATGATTGTCACATCATCTGTGTCGCATAAGGAATTAATAGCTTCAGACACATCGTTCTACTTTAGAACATTCTATTTATAAGGAATAACATGAAGGGATTTTTAAGATTACTGGCTTTTATTGACCTTTGATTCCATAGAGAGTAATCCAAATAACATTTCTATACATATGGAATCTATGATATGGGAGTAATATGTAGACAGGCTAATTAAACTCTTCTGCTCCGATAAAATATTCCTGATACTCTGGTATCATCCCCTTCTCTCTATAATTTGTTTCTAAATTACCTAATAATCTTTTGAATGAAGGCTGGCTACAATGTTAAAAGTTAGAACTGCTTGCAAAGTATATATGTAAATGACAGAGAAAGCCCAGGATGGGTGAGTTTGAGAATTGTATACAACTGCTGTTTTGTTCTTGAGCTCTTTTCCTATTCTACAATACTTTTTAAACACCAACATTGTAAGAGAGAAGATTGAGGTCAGTAGAGCATGAGGAAAAACAAAAGACCACCTAGTTCTCTGGTTGCTATACTTCTAGGACACCTCTATTTTGGCAAAAAGCTCTGTGCACTCGAGCTGTCTAATTCACAAGCTCTATATTGGAATCTGCAGCCAAAGCCCAGCTGTGTTTTAAAAAAAGGATCATGTTCTTGTCTTTGTCTTGTGTACATGCATTTTCTTTCTGAGAACAAGGATGATGAAATTCATGTCCTCTTGAGTTGTAAAATGCTTTTTTTACATCACTCTTTTCTTTTATGTTAAAAAAAGCCCTATGCATAAATTTACTCTGTGATTCCATTGAAAATACAGTGTATAATCTCTGACTCACCGTCACCCACTATTTAAGAGAAGCTCAGCTGAAACATGCTTTTCGAAGACAAGGTTTTGAAAGAAAGTTCAACCCATCTGCACTTGCACTATATCCTAAAATTTGCTTTTTTACATACCTGTCTTTAGAGACCAAAAGCAATATGGGCAATTTGAGAAAACTACATAGACCTTCTGCAAAATTAATTTTATGGAATTACATTTTAACTTGTTTCCAGCACTCCATATTCGTGATTTTTAAAAGAAACCACCCAATAAAAACTGCTTGTATCAATAATAAATATGTATAATCATTTTTAGCTTCTTTAGAAAGATTGCCTTCTAAGAATTCCTATTGAATTTCTGTCTCTGGCATCACAAATGATATTGTCATAAAGTTGCCCTGTGCCATTTGTTGCTTGCTAGCAAGTTTAGAACCAAATTAATGTCCATTTGGTTAACGGGCTCATTAGGCCTAATTTCTAAATTGACTGTGCCTTTTCACTTTTAATATACAGTAGAGGTCATTTTTGGTGTTCAGTAGAGGTTGATGAAATGACCAATTTCTTGATGAAATTGTATGCTATTATGTGTAGGTGTGCACATGTGTGAGACAACATGTTAATATGTATAAAAATTCTTAAAAATGTTCATGCACTTTGATTCAATAATTTAATATCTCAAGACACAGCCTAAGTGTATAATTGAATATGCACAGGATAATTTATGAACCATGATTAATTTCATATTATTGAAAGTTGTTAAAACTGTAAAATAGCATCACAATCCAGTAAGAGGAGAACTCTTAGTTAAATTCTGTGCAAAACTAGCTCTTGTGATATATATAAACACAGGGGAAAGTTCTCATGCTATGTTGTTGTATGAATAAAGCTGAATATAGACATGAAATTACAATGTACTGTGAGAGCCATGTGTATTTTAAAGGAAGAAAAACTGAAAAGCTCTAAACAAAATGTTTTCAGAGGTTCTCTGAGTGAAGGGATTTTGGATAAAAATGTTGGCTTATTATATTTTCTTTATTTTCTAACCTTTCCAAAATAAATGTGTGTTATATTTTATAAACAGAAATAAGAGTATATTTAAATGATAATTTTGCAGGGACAAAGAAAAAGAAAGAAAGAGAACAAAAGAATAAAACAAGTATTTGGCAGTTATCTCATGTATTGAATGATTACATTGCTACACAACAGTCATAAATTATTTATGAATTTTTAGTATATTTTACAAATTTCCCACTTGCTAAAACATTTTCTGGGAGCTGCACATAGATTCAAAATATAAAATCAATCATAATTAGGAAAATAACCAAGAAGAAAAGACATAGGATTGAAACATTACCATTTGGACAACTGACCAGGCAGGGCAAATAAAGCTAAAATATTATGTTTTTGAATTGGAGATTAACAGTTGACTTCAATGATATCAGTGTAAGAATAAGAATCGCTTAACTCTGTCTCACTCAACTTCGGAAAGTCAACAAATCTGCACATAAAGTGATTTGTCTAGAGGTTATGGTGGAAGGCAGTGTCCACCAGCCCAGCCTTTACCCTACGACGTGCTCTTCTTGGCCATAGCCACTTCCAGGTTCCAGGAGTCATGCACTCCAGTCTGCAAAACCTGTTCTCAGCATACAGGATGCTACACAAAAGGATATGTGACAGCCAAGCAACAGAATACACCACATCCTATACTTTAGCCTTAGTGGCAAAAAGCAACCACAAATGTACAAACAAAAGCTTATACCTTTCTTGTTAAAACAATGAAGTGCATATCCACTCATGCAAATTCATAACAGTTTTTACACTAATGCCTTTTCTTTTATATCTATTTTCATGTGTTTCATAAATAAATAAGCAAAGATGAAAATAGAATAAATATATAAAGCTTCTTTAGAAGTATATAGTACTTTTAAAAAGTATTTTACAAGGAAGATTTGGAGAATTCACTTTATCATCGATAAACTCACAAAAAATACAGGAAAGAAGAAAGATAACCAAGGTAAAACAAAAATTATCTTGTTTTTTATTTTTATTTTAAAACCCATACATTTTGCTGTTTTCCATTTGTAAACAAATGTTTATTATACACATGGTCAAATTACTGTATTACACGTCTCTAAACAAAGAGTTATAAATATAATCATAGGTCAATATACAAATTATTTAGACATAAAATTTGCTTTAGTATAACTAGAAACCATATTTATTTATTTATTTTGTGCAAGGCAAAGTACAAATAATTAAAATGAGAGCTCTATTACAAGATTGAATGGCAGTTAGAACTCACTTATAATAAATGCAATCTAAAATACTCTTGAGTCACTGACACTTAATATTCCACATAATGCTAAACATTTCAACTGAGGGGTTACTTAAGTTCAACAGTGTAGGAAATACACCCCAAATTAAAAATCACTTCAAGTGTATTTCTGTGTGATGATAACATGCCCAGCTCTGTCATGGGTGTCTGATTAGGTGTCAGTAATATGCTCTCCTGAAAATCGGGGACATCAGTCTGCTATTCTCCAAACCCCGCCTGTCAGTGTTCTTCTGGATTATTAAAATTATTGCTCAGTGAAAAGAACAGATTCTACATGTTCTGTTTTTTAACCACAGATTCCTCTAAAATGAGTACACATGTTTTAGATGGCCTTATAATTTTACATACAACAGAAACTTAGGGAAATGCTCACAAGGCATGACTCTTATAGTACCTGTCTAAAGGTTCCTGAGGGATGGCAGGATCGATTGTCTGAGACAGCAGAGAGGCAGAAGAAATATTGGATGACACTTAACTCTTTCACATATAACTGGTCTATATAGTTGACATTTAATTTAATTCAGGGGTTCAGAAGAAACACAGGAAAAATTTCAATGAAATGACACATCTACACATTCATAATAAATTAATTTGAGTAAAAAAACAGACAAAAAACCTGTTTCTCCCTCTACATTCTTACACAGTCAATCACACTCAATGCAACACCTTACCTCTGGTTACCAAAATGTATGTGAGAGTTTCTGCCACCAGCACAGGCAATGCTTCTGTGAACACCAGCGCGGTGTCCTGTGATTCAGTTCAATTCTGACTCTATCTACCTGGAGGAAGCTCCAGACCCCACAAGTGAGGGCTCAGCCCCAGAAGGTTGCCCCCACTTCAGGTGACAGTCCCAAGCTTGTGACTGACCAGCTATAAACCTGGGTTCCTGGGACCCTTCCTTGGGTTCCAATAATTTGCTAGAGCAACTCAGAGAACTCAGCTAAACACTTACTTACATTTTCCCATTTATCATAAAGGACATTGCAAAGGATTCGGGTGCCAGACAGACAGAGGAGATGCACAGGGCAAGAAATGTAGGGAGAAGCAGAGCTTCCATGCCGTCTTTTGGATTGGAGCCAACCCCAGACATCTCTATGTGTTCAGCAATCTGGAAGCTTTCTGAACTCAGCCTTTTGGGTTTTTATGGAGGCTTCATTATGCAGTCATAGTTGATTAAATCATTGTCCATTGATGATCAACTCAACCTTCAGTTCCTCTCCCCTTCCTAGAGGTTAGAAGGTGGGGCTGAAAGTTCCAACCCCTTCATTACACAGGTGGTTTGTTCCCCGGGAAACCAGCCCTCACTCTAAGGGTATCCAGGAGCCCACTGAGAGCCACCCCGTTAGAACAAAAGATGCTTTTGTCACTCAGGACATTACAAAGGAGCTCTGTGTCAGAAGCTAGGATTAAAGAACAAATACAGAACAAATTATTCCTCCAGCACCCCTACTGCAAGGATTTTAAGAACTCTATCTCAGGATAAAGACCTGAGGGTAAGGACCACCATATATATTTCTTATTACAGATACCAAGAAAATAACACATTAATGGTAAATTAATATTCAAAAATTATATAAAAATAGCAAAGAACTCTCACTTTAAATATATTAAAGTTAGAAAGGTAGAAATATTAAATACTCATATGAAATCTTTAGCCTGAAGCAAAATCTTTTTAAGGTATTTTATACGTAAAAAATACTTTTATTTTATATGTATTTACATATATTTTATATGTATATATTTATATTTATATGTTTGTATGTATGTTGTTTATGTATCTATATTTACATTCATATTTATGTTTGTTATATATTACATATCTATGTTACATGTTAAATTTAAATTACTTTATTCTGTCATTATGCATATATACACACATATTCAAATTCAGAAATACACATGCAGATATCTACCTACAAGATTTAAACATCATTTTCTAATTGAAGTTTTACAAGCAGTAGAGTTTAGTAATTGTAAATAAATAAAAAGAATTTTCTTCTACTAAAGGTCATCATTTCCATATAGAAAGGATCAAAATCCTCATTTTTTTCTAAATACAGCTAAGAACAAAATATTGTTTAATAGCTAAGCATTTTGCAAGTTTGATGTTAAGCCGACTTAGAAGTTACATTAGTACATCAGCTAAGGCTGTAATGAGCTGACTGTGCCTGTCTCCTTTGACTGATGGTAGCCATTTGAACCAACAAACAAACAAAGCCTCAAGGCAGCTGTTGAAGTAGACACAGTAACCCACTACATTATTTTAAGATAAAACCATAGTAAATGTTTCAGACCATAGATTGTTCACATAAGATTTCTCTTCTTTTGTTTTAACCAGAAGAAAATGACATACTTCAAACCATTATGTTAAGAACATAGTTTTCACTAAGTCTTGATTTTATTTTGAACCAGTTAGCAAGCTGGAAAGCAGGAAACAGAGCTAAGTGCTGATCACTGAAAAGTTAATATATGTGAAAATGAATAAATTCTGAAACTAATATTTTAATTGTTAATACAAATAGTTTGTGATTTTATAAGCATATTATGTTGAAATACAAAACAAATTGTTCATTCAGAATCTGCATCACATTGTCAATAGTTGGCTTGTAATGCCAAAAGTGCACTATATTTTTCTTAGTAACTTGACATAAGATTCTATTCCAGGAAACTCTGAGATTCTGCCATTTTAATTACAGGTGCAAGAGCAAATGCTCATTCTCTTGTCCCACCTTAACCTACCTTGAAGCACACATATAAAACCAAATGATTACTTGGGACATTTCAAACTAAACTGCTTTCACTTCAGGCTCTCTCTCAGGAATACCTCATTTACTACTCCATATCTCTAAAATCATTTTAGAAATTGTCTTCGGGGCAATAAGAATAAAAAAGGAATGAAGGCCCATAAGCTGCAGATATTTAACACATAAATATGCTATTTATAAGCAACAAATTTTTGCACTCCAGAATTTTTAAGGTATGTAATGGCTTATGAGGAGAGATGCGCATTTAAGCTAAAGGACCCAAATGCTTTGAGGGACATAATACTCCAGAATGTTCTGCTTCAGAGAACACTGCTTCTAAAAATCACTTTCAGGGAAAGGGCCTATTTTGGCTCACTGTTAAATGATTGCATTTCCATCCAGCTCATTCATTTGACATCCACTGGAATTCTCTGTAGAGTCAGAGATTGAAGCAAGCTTCAGTTAATATCTCAGAAGACACATAAGATGTGGATGTCAATTGGGCCCATTCAAATCTACAAATATGACCAGGAATATTTGGAAATTGTGTATCACACCAAGAAAGATAATAGCTTTCTGAAAGCAAATAGTTTAAATGCTTAGAGTACAACGTGGAGGAAATAAAGGAAGTATTTATCTGTGAGAGAGGACACAGTTAATCCACTTAATTTGAATTTGAATTAAAACGACTCAGCAAAGGTATTCCAAATTGTTCAGCCAATTGTATAAGCAAAACATTTTTTATTTGTCTTTACTTTTGAATAAATTAAAAATGCTTTGAATTTCAGAACATGAATGACTAGGGAGCCATCGTAATAATATCGTAATGACATATGGAATAACTGTCTAAATTGCTTCCTTCAAATGTCCTCTAGCTTTTATTACTTTTTAATTATTAAATATATCAAAATTACAAAATATTTTATCTAGTATATTTTAAGCTTAAAGAATGATGCTAAAACCAATGTATCCATCTAAAGAAATGATGTCACCAGTTCTTTTAAAACCTGCCCTGCGCACCTTACATCACACCACCTCCCCACCCCCACCCTGGGGCAAATAGCTGCTGGCCTAGGTTCCTCTGAAATACTCCCTTGAATTTCTTTAAAGGTTTTACCACCTATGACTGATTCTCTAAACAATATGTTGTTCAGATTTGCCTGGTTTGACCTTACAATAAAGCAGTCATTTTGTGTGTTTTGTTTTCAAGTCAGGATCTTGCTCTGTCACCCAGGCCAGGCTGGAGTGCAGTGGCACAATCAGGACTCCCTGCAGCCTTGACCTCCTGGGCTCAAACAGTCTTCCCCAATTCAGCCTCCTGAATAGCTAGGACTACAGATGTGTGCCCCCATGCCCGGCTAATTTTTTGTATTTTTTTTTGCAAAGAAGGGATCTTGCTATGTGGCTCATGAGGGTCTTGAACTTCTGGGCTCAAGCAGTCTGTCTGCCTCAGCCTCCCAAAGTGCTGGGACTACCATGCCCAGCCCTTCTGTGACTTTCTTTTTCTGTTCCCCAACATTAGATTTCTGAGTTTGTCCTGGCTGATGTCTAGCTTTGATTCACCATTTTCCCCTCTGGATATATTATGTCAACAAGCCAAAATTTATTCATCGGTTGTTAGACATTTGAACTGTTTCCCCTCGAGGCCATGGCAACCAGTGTTGCCACAAATATTCTTTTATATTTCTACTGGGACACAGACATAATAAATGCCTCACACTAAGTACCTAAGGGTGGCATCTTTTATATTCATAAAATTGCTGAGTATTTTTGTTTCTATTCTCTGGAAGAATTTACATAAAATCCTAAGTATTTGTGTGTTGGATGTTTGGTTAAAAAAATCACCTATAAAACCATCTGGGCAAGATATTTGTTTTGGGAAGAATTTTAACTTTGTTTTCTATTTTGATAATTGTGCTGTTTGAGTCTAAAGTTGAGGTTCTTGCAAAGCGGACTCAGTTACATTCCCTGTGGATATGAGGTTTCTGGCCCCTGCTTCTAATGTCCAGCACAGCTGAATTGGGGCAAACAACAACAGTTGCAGTGTTGAGGCCCATTTCCTAGCTCATATGTGGAGGATGCATTTCTCATTTGATGTCTCTCCCTTCTCTGGGGCCCCTGGTTGTCATCACTACTGGATAACAAACCTCTTTTCCAGAACCCACATAGAGGCATGCTACCTCAGCATGGGATTGTGAACAGCCACAGCAATGGCTTGATTTAGCAGGTATTATTGATTTCCCATCTAACTGTTTCAGATATTCTCACATTTTAATAAAGGGTAATTTTTTGTCATATAGCTTTTTCTAAAAATTTCAATTTAATTTTTTCTGCAGTAATGAGTTATTCACAATTTGACATAATTGTTCCTCATTTAGTGATTTGCTATGTAGTTATTTCTAAAGGCTAACAGAGCCAATGAGCCATTGTTAGAGAAATCTGTAGCTTTTAAATGAGATTTTAAAAACATCAGTTGTTGATTCTTTTTCCTCATATTTCCTTTTTTTCTGTTTTCCACCTTCTGTTCTGAATACTGAATATGTTTGCTAAGTTAATCATCACCGCATTCTTTGGAGATAGGAACTAATACTACCTTACACAGATATTAAGACTAAGACTCAGAATAGTCAAGGAATTTTTCAAACTCACCTCACTAGTAAGTGGAAGGGTCAGAATTTAATTCTGTGGGCAGAGGTTGTGCACAGGACTTTCCTCTGAGGCAACTGTAAGGATATTCTATTTTTGGTGTATCTGTGGGTTTCTCTTTATGGTTGAGCTTCATAGAAGGTTTTTGAGTGATCAGTTATAGATTATGTAGTAAGATTCCTTAATATGATTTTTAAATGAACAAAGGTTTTGACTAAAAATGAAAAGGCAGACTAGGAATAGAGCACAGCAGAATGTCTAGCAATATAATAAACAGCATCTGAGACAATTACTGAATTGGAAGTTAGAGTTGAAGAAATTATGTAGAAGGCAACCCAAATATAAGGAAATAAACATAAAAGACAGGTGGGAAGGTATAGGAGAGAAAATGAAAAGGTCAAACATACTACTGATCCGAGTTTTAGGAGGAGAGAAAAAAGATAGGGGTGGAGTGGGAGCATACTCTAAGAGGTAACACGTGAGAATTGTTTAGAATTAATGAGCAAAATGAATCTTTAAATTCAGGAAAGCTAACAAACATCACACTAGGTACATGAAAGAACAGAATAAAACAAGCGAAGCAAAGAAAATCATTTAAAACAGCCAAGAAAACAGAGATTTCCCGTAAAAGAATGGTGATTAGACCAACAATGAGCTTCCCAATATACTAACGGAAGCCAGAGACAGCAAGATAGTATTTTCTGAATTCCTGGAGCACATGGCTGCCAGCTGAGAGCTACTCAATGAGATATCCTAGGGATGTTTTGCACAAGTTCATCAGGGGGCATGTACCAGGGTATTTATTGCAGCATGGACTTAAGCAAAATACTGTATCATTTAAAAATGCATTGAAGGTATGTGGGAACTGCTACATATGAAGATAAAGGTAAATGGTTAAATTTGGAAGATGACAAATAGGAAAATTCAAAGACATTGCCAGGGATTCAAGAAATTTAGAACAGTTGGTTCCTTGACAGAAAATGAGGCCATGTCACCAATAGAAGAAGATGAGAAAGAACCTTGAAATAGAGTTTTAAAGGACAAATTTTCAAAGAAAGAAAAGATGATTTCAGAGATTATCTAGAAAGAAAATTTTACTTAGAACCTATGCTACTGAAATTACAACCAAACTGAAAGTTCCAGTTATTTTGTTAGAGAACGAAGTATTCTTTACCATTACTTTGTGATAAGGCCTGAGCATGCTCTAGAGTCTTCAAATTTGATCTTTGTCACCTGATTCTTTTATGCCAGTGTGATAGTCAAACTAATATGGCTAGAAATTTATAAGCCAAGAAATAACAATTCTGTTTTTATGTCAGGTACATGTGTGTGTATATCTATTCACTTTTTTCCATACCACTTCTAAGTACCTAGAGCAAATAGCCACTACCTTTCACTGAAACTACACAGTAGCTTCTTAATTGTTCTTATAGTTTCAATCTTGCTTTGTGACAATTAATCAATCCTCCACATAGCAAACATAATTATCTTATAATATAACTAAGATCATGTCATACCCCAGGTTAGCACATCTCATAAAATCCAACACACCAGCATCCCATCACCTAAAAGTCCTTGCGGGAACTGAATCGACCTCCTTCTCTAGCTTGCCCTGGTCTCCTTTTCTCTATCTCACAGCTTCTTTCTATTTCAGTGTCTCTCATGAGGCAAAATGCATGGTACTTGACACATTCTCTTACTTCTGCTCACAACACTCTTCATAGCTCTCCATCTGGTTAACTGATGCATCCTTCCAGTCTCATCCTAAATACCCTTCCCTGGAGAGGCCCTACCTAGCCACCCAATTTAAATTACTTCTCACTGTTTAACTCTCTTATAACACCTTGCACATTTTCTTGTGTTAAAGGAATATTATAATGTAGAGACATTCTATTTTACATGTTTTATATGTGTATTAGAGTATTATATTCCTAATTCCTCCCTCCCATGCCATGTGTCATTACCCTCATTCATTTCACTTACACATAAGCTATAATCATAGAATATATCAGTTATTATTATTTTGAACAAACTGTTGTCTCTTAGCTCAATTGAGAATAGGAAATAGAAGATTTTATTTTATCTTCCCTTATTTCTTCCCTAAATCTTTCCTTTCTTTATGTAGCTCCATGTTTCTGATCTGTATAATTTTTTTTCTCTCTAAAGAACTTTTTTAAAAAGCATTTTTTGCAAGGCAGGTCTACTGACAATACATTCCCTCAGTTTTTGGTTGTCTGAGAAAGTTTTTATTTCTCTTTCACTTTTGAAGGGTAATTTTGCGTGGTACAGAATTACAGGCTGGTGGTTTTTCCTCAATACTTTGAATTTTTCACTCTGTTCTGTGCTTGCTTGCCTGGTTTCTGAGACGTCAGATGTAATTCTTATAATTACTGCTCTATAAATAAGATGTTTTTCCCTCTGGCTTCAGTCAATATGTTTTCTTTATTTTGGATTTTCTGCAGTTTGAATATTATATGCCTGAATATAAGTGTAGGGCTTTTTCCTTCTCTCTTCTTGTGCTTTTTTTTTCTTTTTGGCACTTATCCTACTTGGTATTCTCTCCACTTCCTGAAATTGTGGTTGGGTCTCATATTAATTGGTGAAGTTCTTAGTCATTATTATTTCAAATATTTCTTCTGTTCCTTTTTCTCTTTCTTTTTCTTCTTGCATTCCCTGTGTTTGTATGTTACACCTTTTGTAATTGTCTCAAATCCTTTAATATTCTATTTTATTTTTTTCAGTCTTTTTTTTTTGCTTTGCTTTTCAATTTTGGAAGTATTTATTGACATATCTTCAAATATGAAAATCCTTTCCTCAGCCATGTCCAGCCCATTAAAAGCATTTAAAATTTTTCTGTGACAGTGTTTTTGATTCTAGAATTTATTTAATTCTGCCTTAGAATGTCCAGCTGTCTGCTTACGTTGCCCATCTGTTCTTGGGTGTTGCCTACTTTTTCCAACAAAGCCTTTAACATTATTCTTTCATATTCCTAATCTTATAATTCCCACATCCCTGCCATATCTGAATCTGGTTCTGATGCTTGTTCTGTCTTTTCAAGCTGTATGTTTTGCTTTTTAGTATGCCTTGTAATTTTTTGTTGAAAGTATAACGTGAAGTACCTGGTACTGTTTCCTACAGAGATTTCTGTTTTGCTATGCTGTGATTCTCATTACCTGTTTGTCTGTTTCTCCACTTTTAGGCATAGTGGTTTGTCCTGAGACCTCACTTTTCTGTGGGTCTAAGAAGGCTGTTGATTTTCAGTTCATTCAGCTTTTCACTTGTTGTTAGGATGGAGTAACAGCTTCCCAGTTTATTCCCAGCCAGGCCAAAGGCCAGAATCAAATTTCCTTTTAAGTACACAGTTTATAAACAGTTATTTTTGTGACTTTGTTTCCGTTCTTTTTAGCTTTCTAGGAGAGACATTTAAAAAATAATCACCCTTACACTTAGCAACTTATGTGTAGTACTACTCTCAGTCTCAAGTACATAGTAGAAAATCTGTCAATATTTCAGATTTAAGGAAAAAGAAATTAAGTCCTAGATCTATTTAGTCACTGCAGCAGATACGTGTGACTACTTTTGTGAGCATCATTCTGCTTAAACATTCTCTATTGAGTTACAGCTTTTAAAAACTCCTAACTACTAGTTAAAACTAAGAAACTTTTATTTGTGCTTAGATGTGCTTTGATCTCCGGTGGGTGTTCACATGAATAACAGTGCTTTTTGAAATTCATATGCCAAACTACTCTCTCTTAGATAGTGTTTACTTGTAAGAACACCAGGCAATATGTTGTAATCATTGCCTTAAGGTTTATGGTGGGTTTGACTTCTATAAACACTAATGAGAATCACTTGGCTGCTTCTATGCATAAAGTACTAGAATCCGGTCCCTAGGTTATGTTGCTTTTGCATTTGTATGGCTAATGCGTGTCATTAAACCATAATGGTAAACATAACTACTTGGAAATCATGTTTCACCTTTTTCTCCTGTGGATCCCAAATCAAATTGCAAACAATTAATTATGGTTACAACACCACTGCAGAGTAATTTTCAGTAGGAATATATTAAGAGGGGCTACACCGTTTCTGACGTTTCAACTGATAAGAAGTGACAACTCTTAGAAAGGCAGTCCTTACAAATCCACAATATATAAGGGTAGGAAAAGTAAATACCATCTTCAATATAATTAGACAAAGAAATTGGCAGATATATTTAACTCTTAAAAGTTCTGCCAGGACCCTACGCTTAAAAATTGCGGGGTAATTTAAAGTATTCCAATCAAGTTTGGATTCCATTTTTGTGGCTGATCTTCAGCAAGTACATTTTTCCTAAATAAAGAAATAATATTTGTAGAACTTTAAAATATCATCTCATCTTTCCTGGCTTTCATGTGCTCCGTGATAACTTGATTAGCCCAAGGAAGACGAAGAGATATCTGAATGGCCTGGACATGGCATGTAAAAATGACTCAGCCAACAGCTGGAAAGAAGCTGCTGGCCTTCAGGTCAGTATTTACTGGGGTGTGGTGAATTAAAACCAGATGTGCAAGCATGGACAGCTGCAGCGGAAATGCTTCTCAGTGCTATTTGCCAGCCGTGTTCCACAAAGTGGAGATAAAAGTGGTGGCAGTCAGGCAAGATCACTGTTCTCATGATCCTTACCTTCTAATGGAGAGAGACAGCATATTTGGCCAGTGAGCACTGCTCCAACTCCTTGGACTGAAGGCCACTTTATACTCTTAAAAATTGAGATCTCATCAAAACTTTTGTTTACGTGAGTTATATCCACTGATATTTACTGTAGTCAGAATTAACACTGTGGCATTTTAAGATTTTATTTACTTATTTCTACATAACAGGAAAGTCATTACATATTAACATGAAAATATTTTTATGAAAAAATAACTCCATTTAAAAAAATTAAAACAATGAAAAGAGTGTCATTGTTTTACATTTTTGCAAATCTTTGTAATATCTACTTTCATTGAAGATGGCTGGATTCTCATATCTGTGTTGGCGTTAAATATTGTTACATGTTGTTTTCGATGAAGCATATAAAGAAAGTCTACCTTGGAAAAGGTAGGCATATTTTAATAGCCTTTCAGTTATTCTTTGATATTACACTGAAGGGAGGCAGCTTCATAAAGATGAATTGCAATGTGGGATGTGAAGTCATATCAGTGAACTTTCCAGACTCCGTTATATACAAATCCTTTCATCTTGCACTTTGAATGGATCTTTTACCCATTCATGATTCTGTAAAATCATGTATTAGTCATTTGAAAAATAATGAATCACAGGTTTATGAAGATCTTCCAAATATTGACACATTTGATTACACTATATATAATCGCATTTGTTAGTATCATCTCAAATATCATCAAAAAGACTTTAAATCTTGGGAAGCTGTCAATGGTAGCAGATACAAAGCTTTAATTTTATTATTGGCAACAAAATACCATCAGTTTTATGATAGGCTCACTTTATTCATTTTCAAGAAAATAAAGAATCTTCAGTCATTTATTCAAGCAAAGATAATTTTTTATGAAAAAGTCTCTAGTCCAGCTCACAACTTAATTTCGCAAGCACTTTTCCTCAAGAATTCCATCATACTCTGGTATGCTGTGGAAGTACTTAACATAGACTTCCTATTTCATAACACAAGATATTAATAATACAGGTACTAATAGCTCAAAATACAGTGAAATTAACTTTTTGTGCTTCATCAAAAGATATTCTTGTTTTTTTTTTTTTTTTGAGACAGAGTCTTGCTCTGTCATCCAGGCTGGAGTGCAGTGGTACAATCTCGTCTCACCGCAATGTCCACTTCCCAGGTTCACGCGATTCTCCTGCCTCAGCCTCCCGAGTAGCTGGGATTACAGGTGTGTGCCACCATGCCCGGCTAATTTTTGTATTTTTAGTAGAGACAAGGTTTTGCCATGTTGGCCAGGCTGGTCTTGAACTCCTGACCTCAGGTGATCCACCCGTCTCGGCCTCCCAAAGTGCTGGGATTACAGGCGTGAGCCACCGCTCACAGCCAACAGACATTCTTAAGTAAAACTGGTTTTATGCATTTATTTGTTTGTTTTCCTGCAAGTATCGCCAATGAAGAGTTCAATGACCTGCTAGTACACCTTGCTGCCGCTGCACCAACGTGCACTGAGCCATCGCAGACTGTGATGGCTTAGTATAATTAAAAATTGTTTTCAATTTTTGTAAACCTGTCAAAAGTGTTGTGAATACATGGGATACACTTTGAGAACCACTGGAGTAAACAAATAAATTATCAAAATAATCACAAATATGATAAGGGCTGCAATTATAATAAAATATGATGGGGGATGATTGATCACTGGAATATAACTTACTAAGGAGTTCTTTCTTCACTTCCCAATCAAAGCTAGTAATATGTTGGCTAAGTAACCTGGATGACTATTACTTGTCTTGATTAGGCTTGATTAGAACTCTCCACAATTCAAATTATTTATCAGAATAGTGACTGATAATTTAGTTTTGTGCGTAAAAAAATTATAAGCTCCATGAATGCATATTTTGTTCTGTTAAACTTTTATTCTTAATAAATTATTCTGGATCTGACTTAAGTTATATATGTGTGCATGTGTGCATGCATGTGTGTGTATGTGTGTGTTTGTGTAGAATGAATAAATTATTGAGACCAGAGAGGACATAAATTTGAGAGACAGAATTGGGCATGATGAGTTCTGTTTCTCCATTATGAACATGAAAGGGGTCTAGGCTGTCTACTTGGCAGATGGCTAATGCAAGGTGGAATACGTGGGGCTGGCCCTTAGCAGGGAATCTGGGCTGGAGATAAAGATGTGGACACTCTCAGCTTATAGCTGCCAGTTAAGACTAATCTCACACAAGACTTGCTAATAGTCCGTAAAGGGAAAATGGCCAGGGATAAAATCCTGAGGCACACTGACATTTGGAGAGTAAGTGAGAAACCTAGAGAAAAAATTGAGAAGTGCTCCCCTACACACCTGCCCTAACGCAAAACTGTCACTTTTCCTACACTAATTATTATTTTGTGTATTTATCTAACTCTTCGAAGAACGGATTTTAATCCATTTTATTTTACAGGTTTAACAGATTTTAATATGAGTTTATTTTAATCATCTTTGTATCCCTAGCAACTAGCACAAAATACTCATCAACTTCGATCCATTTTTTGAGTTACTATTTCAATAAATGTAAGTTTATCATTTAAATTTTGGGAGTGTTTTTCACTCAGATTTTCTTTCATTCCTGTTAGGAAACAACCAAGATAAGATTGCTGTTGTAATAGGATTATCTCCAATCATCAGATTGATTAAATGTTCTCTAACCTGTAACTTGCAGTGTTTCTTGAAAAACATCCTTTCTTAGTCCTTGATTTTTGAAAAAAAAAAAATGGCTTTTAGTCAGTGAGCATTAGGAGTTGAAGAAAATGAGTTCATCTTTGGCTGAGAAGTCAATAGGATTCTGCTGCTTACTTTTTTTTTTAATGCCTCTAAAGCTTTCATTCTCAAAATGCATGGGAATAAGCCATTTAGAAAGTGCATCAGTAACAAAATCTTATAGGGCTGTGTATACACATACTTGGTAAAATCTACCTATGATTTTTGAAAATATTTATTAAATTCCAAAACTCAATTCTCTAAAGGTATAAGGCCAATATTAATAATTTTCATTTGATACCAAGAAACACCTTATATCAAACTTGATAAAGGAGTTACTCTCTGAACTAGGAAAATCAAATCTAATTTTCAGTGACCTAAAATTAAGAAAAAAATAGATCACCATTAGCACTAAGTTTGTGTAAAATACAAAATGTCAAATGTATGAATCAGCCTGATATAATTAAGACCTCTGCTCCATGGAACTATTAAAGTAGAAATACACAAACATAAGTCAACAAGCAAATTGTACATTGTAAACTATCATACCCATGTAAACTATACACACCCATGCATACACACACATTCATAAACAATGTTCCAGAGAAAAACACATGCTTCAATAAACAGCAAATCATAAAATTTAGTTTGCTTTTTCAGTAGCAAATGAAAATATATAGAACTTCAGGAAATGAGAAAGTTGGAGGATTCTTGAAGAGGCCTTGAGTTGTCTTTTAGGGATGAATCATCTCCCCAAATTCGTGAACACAGAAATACCCCATGGATTTTTACTCATAGTCTGCTGGCCACACAAGGGAAGAGGAGATATGAGATTGTAGGATAGTAGCAGGTACAAAACTGGTACAGGTTGAATAGCCCAAATCCAAAAAACCCAAGTCTGAAATGTTACAAAAGTCTAAACTTTTTGACTACTGACAAGACGATCTCAAAAAAAATACTCACTGGAACAATTCAGATTTTGGATTTTTGGATTCAGAATACCCAACCAGGAAGTATAATGCAAACATTCCAAAATAAAAAAAAAAATCCAAAATTCAAAATACTTCTGGTGTTAAGCATTGGATAAGAAACAGTCATCCTTTCCTTTACATTTAATAATGGAAAATAAAATGTTTCCTCTAAATTGCCTAGTATTGTTGTACATTATTTTAAATCTGCCATTCCACTGTGGCCTAACGTCCTCAAGCCAAGGTTGATAAAAATGCTAAATATTAACTTAAATTACAAAATACATTACAGATAGAGTCAATGTCCACATCATGTCTCTGTAGAAGCGAGCTGTTAACAGGCACTGGTGGGATGCCTTGCCCTTAAGAGGCTACAGTCTGATGTGAGTTGCTTTATTCTCATCCCGCAAACATCCAGTCCTCTCCAGACACTTGTACTCAGGAATGTGTCTAGGTTTAGCGGGTCCGCCGAAGCTTACACAATTTAAAGAAAACAGCTTCAAACTGGTCAACAAAATTATAACACATCTTAAAACATGTCGCCTTTTGAAACCTAGCATCTGGCTGCGTGCATTTCCAGCTTTGTGACTCCTCCGCTCCACATCCGTCCAGCCCCAGCCCTGGAGGACACACCCTTACTGCCACGCCATCTTTGTTTCCTGACCTGGTGACACCAGCTTACCCTCTCTTAGTCATCTGGTCTCCTCTTCAACTTTGCCTCAAACTTACACAGACAATTCTGGACTTCCAGATATTTGGATTTTAGAGTTTTGCACATTAGAACCCACAGATGCCACCAGCGTACCTTCTGTCTTCTGTTGTTGATTTCACACGACTTCCTGGAGACCTGATGGCCAGACTCGCCTCTGATGGAAAGCAACTGACCTCAATTGACTGAGCAGGAATGCCTGCAACTGGCAGGATAGAACATGTGGCCCAACGCTGAGCACATCTTCCGCATATGTCCTCTGCATGTGGCTTGTGAATAATGCTGTTTGGGATCTGATCTATTTACTGGTTGTTCCACATGAGTATATGCAGTTTTCCTTCTCTGAACCTGATGTCATTACTTCACTGTCATAGCTTTACCTGGCTGGCTGCCTCCTGTCACACTAGCCCATGCACTGGTCACAGAAATACATTTGGGCTAGAAAAAAACCAAGACCTTGAGTAAGCAATTGCTCCAATGGCTAAATCTTGGGCAAGGCTTTCTCCTGGGACTTATTGCTGGAAAATTACACCAGACCTTCTCTACTTAGGTTTGAAAATATTCTTTTGATTTTCATTTTTACCACTATTTAATAAAAATTCTGCCCCAAACCAAAGCAACTCAGTTTTAACAATCTGTTAGTACTGAAAACTCGTATACTTTTAAAATGTCCGAAGGTACCTCTTTTATGAGTCAGGCAATATCAAAAAGTGTATGTCTCAATATAATCAAATATGTTCTTTAAAGAATTTTAGAAAAGTTAGTGGAACAAACAAACAAATGCTGTTTTCAATAACATTGTAATGGAAGTTGAACGTTTTTATAGTTTCTTTTTTTCTAATAGTGATTCCATCAATAGCATCCATGTATATCATCTAACTTAATCTTCACCTCAACTCTGGGACTCAGTGAAGGATGATACAACCTCCAATAACATCATTCTCTTGATATTTCGAGAATAATATTTTGCAGGTATTATCTGTGCAGTTCAACAGCTTTAGCAAAAGATTTACCTCTTTCAGCAGAGCAGAAATTTAGCCTGACAAAAGTGGGGAGGTAGAGAATTAGTGTGAAAAAAGTTTCCCCTTTCCTTTCTCAATTTAAAGGAAGGGTCACAGAATATGGGTCTGAATGAGAGTCACATAGTTTTGAATTTCATTTGGAGCCCCAAACACCACAAGCTGTATACCCTTCAATCAAAAAGAAAATTATAACTCTGAGCTGCATTTCTATCAGAGAAAAGCAAATGTTGTGATTTTTGCACTGAAATCAAATTTAGCTGGAATGATTCAATAAAATGATGGTATCATTATAAATGTTGCACTCTTTCTTAAAGTTTGATTAGTCTAGACACCTGAGTTGAAAAATGACTGTTGCCTGATACTTCAAAGCACACTTGACAACTTTGATTAAATATTTATGTTAAATGTAGATGACTTAAAATGAAATGTGTTCCAATCAAGACACTAGCAAGCAGAACATATGTAACTTGTCAGCGTTAGAGCTCTGGTTTCGGGCAGTTTGATTTGAGGTTCAGCCAACTCCAGAGGTACAGTCAACTCCAGAGGTGCAGCTCTCCAACTTCCACTACTTAAATGGGGGTCACAGCAGGTCTGCGTTTCACGTGGCAGTATCCAAGCAACTCAATATCCAGTAATTCCCTGGAATTGTTGAAAAGAATAAAAAGTAAGCAAGGAGCAGCTTGTTGTATTCTCTCTTTCCTCCTTGTATTACAACCATAAACCCCCATATATGCTCTCTCGTAAACAAGATTTTAGAGCACCGTCGAGGGCAACTCTCTTAATCTTTTAAAATGTTTTTAAAACGTTTGTAATTCCAGTTCTTATTCCTAATTACTTGAGAATTTATATGTGTCTGTTCAATTCAAAACAACCCTATTGCATTTTCTTTTGAAGTAAGCTATCCATAACATATTTGCATTTATGTTCTGAGAGAAATAATTAATATCACCTTAATTGCTGAAGTCAGGAAATTGGAAGCCATGTTTAGCTTCCCTTTGTCATTCCTCCCACACTCTAGCTGGTGGGAAGCATCATCAAGCCTATCTGACATGCTTTGTATCTGTCATCCTCCGGACCAGCCCTGAACCAGACTGGCTCTCCATGGCCTTGCATCAGCCTAGACTGTGGTGCCAATTCTAACTCATGCCTTAGCTTGTGTGCATCTCTACACCACCACAATCTAGCCACACATTCCAGAAAGATCTTAAGTAAATCAAATCTGACATTTTGGTTGCTTTGAATCTACATTCATTAATTCTAAAGGCATTGCTTACATTTTATCATTCTTTTTTTGCTTTTTATCTTTGTATCATATTTTACAGAGATAAGTATGCAATTTTTGTTTTGATTACACTTACTGAAAAAATACATGCTTACTTCACAGAAAATCCAATGACAATTATTTTTAAAAGTGAAAACTGGGCTGGGCACAGTGGCTCATGCCTGTAATACCAGCACTTTGGGAGGCCAAGGCGGGTGAATCACTTGAGGTTAAGAGTTCGAGACCAGCGTGGCCAACATGGTGAAACCCGGTCACTACCAAAAATACAAAAAATTAGCTGGGTGTGGTGGCGGGCACCTGTAATCCTAGCTACTCAGGAGGCTGAGGCAGGAGAATCACTTGAACCCGGGAGGCAGAGGTTGCAGTGAGCCAAGGTTTTGCCATTGCACTCCAGCCTGGGTGACAAGAGCAAAAGTCTGTCTCAAAAAAAAAATTAAATTAAATAAGTAAATAAATAAATACAATATTTTTTAAAGTGAAAACTGAATGACCTCTACCTTGTACTCACTCAAGATTAATCAGTGTTAACAGAGTATTATCTATCTCCCAGGGATTAAAATTTATTCAATGGCTTCCCATTGCTGACAGCATAAATCATACCCTCGGAATTCGTTTTTGGACCTTCCCTCTCTTTTTCCTTGCAAAGTGGAGCACAGACTGGAATGGGAGGAAAATGCACAATGTGTTTGAACTTTTGCCTCTGTTTACTGCACCCATTTATTTCTCAAACTTGAGATTAAACAACACTTCCTCTAGCAAAGTTTTCCTATTGGCTTCTCTTAGGGCTTTTTGTTTAAAAGAAAAGCAGATACTCAAGCCATCACTAGTTGGGCACTAGCAGTTACTTTCAGGATATACAGGTTATTTGAAAATAAAGCTTCAATTATGATAGATTTCATGGAAGCTGCAATTAGCATTGAGACAGCATCATCATCCTTTTTCCTGGTGTCTCCATTTTTATCTTATGTCATCTCTGATGCTCTCTGAAGCCACGCCCTTTTCAGTAGTTGAAAACCTTTTATTTGCTGCTTTCTCATAATGCCAATTGGTACGTAAATTTGATTGTCTTGGCCCTGGCTTAAAGCTACACATGCTTCTGCCTTTTGCCTTCCTGGTTGCTTACCAGCTTTTGTATTTCCCAACTGAAAATTACTGCAAAAAATACTTTGGGTACAATATATACTTTTTTCCTTTTAGGTCACAAGATGTACATTGCTGGCCTCAGCTGGATTTTCCCAGGGTCAGGTGCCCATTCCTACCTAATCAAAGGTAAGGATGAAGTTGGCCTTCTGTGTGAGCCGGTGGGGGAGGGGATGAGATGGTTAACTTCATGTGTCAACTCATCCAGGTTATGGGGTCAAGTTCTTTGGTCAAACACTAATCCAAATGCTGCTCTGAAGGCATTTTATAAATGTTACAATCAATTGACTTTAAGTAAAATAAAAATCATCCTTGATAATGCAGATGAGCTTCATTCAATCAGTCAAAGACCTTAAGAGCAAAAACTGGGGTTTTCAGAGAAGAAGGATTTCTGCCTCCAGACCTTACCACAGAAATCCTGCTGAGTTCCCAGATGCCAGACTACCTTACAGATGTGGGACTTGCCAGTCCCACAACCGCATAAGCCAATCTGATCCTGAAAATATCTACCTATCTATCTATCTATCTACCTATCTATCTATCTGTGTCTATTTTTCTATCTGTCCATTTCTATCTGTCTCTGTCTATCTCTATCTATCTGTCTATCTGTGTCTATTTGTCTATCTGTCCATCTATCTCTCTATCTCTATCTGTCTCTGTGTCTATTTGTCTATCTATATCTGTCTCTCTATCTCTATCTGTGTCTGTCTATCTATATCTATCTATCTATCTATCTCTATCTGTCTGTGTATCTGTCTGTGTCTCATTGTCTGTCTATCTATCTATTTCTATCTCTGTCTGTGGTCAATCTGTGTCCAGTTGTCTATCTATCTGTCTATCTATCTATCTATCTGTGTCTATTTTTCTATCTGTCCATCTCTATCTATCTCTATCTGTCTGTGTCTATTTGTCTATCTGTCCATCTATCTCTCTATTTCTATCTATCTATCTATCTATCTATCTCTGTGTCTATTTGTCTACCTATCTATATCTATCTGTCTATCTCTATCTCTATCTGTGTCTATCTATATCTATCTATCTCTGTCTGTCTATCTATCTGTGTCTCATTTTCTGTCTATCTATCTATCTATCATCTATCTATCTATCTATCTATCTATCTATCTATCTATCTATCTATCTCTATCTCTGTCTGTGGTCAATCTATCTGTGTCCAGTTGTCTATCTATCTATCTATCTATCTGCCTATCTATCTATCTATCTATCTGTCTGTCTATCTGTGAAGATCACATCTATCCTACTGCTGCTGTTTCTCTGGAGACCTTTGACTGATATGTAATTTCTATTTCAAGGGCTATAGTGGGTTGGCACCATAGAGCATTTCTTTGACAGTGTTCTGTTGTGTTAACAAGGTAATGTAAACTGCCATTACAAAATAACCCAAAAGGTCAGCTCCAACAATGGAGATGGATGCCTTGCACACATAGGGCCACTGCATGTGTTCCTGGTGAGGAGTTGGCTTCCACGCACTGTGAGGTGCTCAGGCCTCTCCCATCACGGGGCTTTGCCTTCTCCTAAAGCCTTGGTATCCTTCCATCCAGCTGTCGGATGAGGAAAGAGGGTGGATGGGCACCTCTTCCATTAGGCTCCCTGGCGCAGAAGTGATACACTTCAATTCTCTTCATGTTCCATTGATGTAACAGGTCATGAGTCCTCACACGTTTTCAAGAGTTTGGAAAATGATCTCCCTTGCCAGACTGCCAATCTTCAAAGGGAGTTCTATATGTGGAAGAAAAAGAAAAAATTTATGTGCATTTACCCTGTTTAATACACTCATCATATATAGTATTTTTGCAACAGCAAAAATAACACTCTTAATTTAGTATGTAATTATATATGTCATATACTTAATATACAAAATATTTTCCTTGCTAACCTATACGATTTCAAATGCCTGGAACAATAGATAATTCATGTGATTACTTGAGAGTATGTAAATTTTAATATGTTAACATATACTGGCAAAGTTCTAAAAGTTGCGATTTTATGGGAGGCCAAATTATGTACATATTAGTTTGTCTGAAGACTTGAGCCAAAAGGAAACTAATACACTTCTGAGCTACAATATGGACATAATGTCATGAAGCAGGAACATTATGCTCCATTTCAGGACACTTCTGCTGACCTGCACCTAGAATACCCTGTTCTGTGCTGATGACTCAGATGTAAGAATGATGAAGTGCATCGGCTGGCATGCAGAGAACAATAAGAAAAAGAACTGAGTTGTGGGAAGACATGAGGAAAGGACATGAGGCTCTTAATAACAGCTGCCAAGTACTGCAGTCGGGAATCTGGAGCAAAGTGATTCAATTCTGACCACTGCCTGTGAGTAAATGGGATTTTATTTTTCAATACTTTTGTTTAATAGTACCTCCTTCATTACATGTGAACAGCACTCCAGGACAGTAAATCATGAAATGGGAATAAAGCCTGTAATTTTAATTAACATATTTTAAAATGTTTCTAATTTGTATGCATTTGATCAAATTTTCATTTGCATTGAGCTATTTTTTTTCTTTCTCATGTAATGTTTGACATTACCATTTCTTTCTTTAATGAAATACTAATATTTAATAAAATATATTACATCCTTAATATGACTTGTCAGGAATTTTTCTTCCTCAAACATTTGTGTGATGAAAACGAAACCTCGCTGCACATGGAATCTCAGCTGACAAGTAAAAAGAAGCATTTTTGTATTAGCGATATCTTGTTCCCTCTTGCAACGTTTCCTTCCTCTCACCTCCATGTGACCAAAATAAATGATCAGAGTGGTTCATCCTCACTACTGTCTCCCTTGCAGTGCAGCCTCTGTAACCATGCTCTGGGCAAGCAGGTACTCATCTGGGGACAGGCTCCAGTAATGGAGCATGCAATGCAAAAACTGGCATTAAAACTACATCGGGCATGGTGGCTCACACCTGTAATCCCAGCACTTTAGGAGGCAGAGGGGTGGGCCACCTGAGGTCAGGAGTTTGAGACCAGCCTGACCAACATGGTGAAATCCCATCTCTACTAAAAATACAAAATTAGCAGGGTGTGGTGGCAGGCACCTGTAATCCCAGCTACTTGGGAGGCTAAGGCAGGATAATCATTTGAATCTGGGAAGCGGAGGTTGCAGTGAGCCGAGATCACACCACTGGACTCCAGCCTGGACAACAAGAGCAAAACTCTATCTGAAAAGAAAAAAAAACAAAAACAAAAACAAACAAAAACTACATCACCTGCAGAGATGCTTTCTAAATATTCTTTTTTTTTTGTTTTGGTCAGATATAAAACACATGTATCTGCTCATTTCATTGCAAATAGAGGTTCTAACTGGTCTTGACTCTGTGCTCAATGCCCACAAAGCCATTCTGCACTCTTCTGTGCACAGGCATCAACTCCTCATTCAGTCAGCCAGCCAGGCATGTGAACAGATAGCTCACCAAACAACGTGCAACACAGTGTCCCCACCAGGAGATCTCTATGAGCAAGGATCATGTTGAATTTTTTTAGTATTCCTTGCACTTTGTGGGCACTCAATTAATGCCTTTTTGCCATAAGTGGTAGTTAATAAATGCACCTAAAATTTCAGTATAAAAAAACTACTATTCTTAGGCTTTTAGTGATGAGCTTCCTCAACAAACCTTCCCTCCCATCAGTGAGTGCTTCCCTTCGATCTGCACCTCCCAGTGTCTTGAAAGGAAAAAGAGACTGACTAATGCCCCCATCCAAAAGTCTCTCCTCATTTCATCTCACTTAACATTTCTGCAGAGTTTGCCAAATGCAGCTATTCCTTTTCCTAAAGCAGGATGCGGGAGGGGACGTAAATAGAGATTAGAAAGAAGAAAAATATTCTTACCATGTTGGGGGGCTGGATTTATGTGAAATCCAAAGTGAATCAGTCATTACAGGGCTTGGCACATAGTAATTTTTCCAAAAATGTTACCACTAGTAGTATTTTGTGATCATTAAAGATGCCAGAAACATGTATGCCTCCTTGCTTTTAGCCATGTGGTTATTAGCGCTTGAGATGTACTTTTGCTTACATTTAACGTGTCAAAAATATGCTTCTCTTTAAAGGAACAATCAAAATGTCACTTCCTTTGATTACTTCCTTCATCCCCTTTATGGGGAAAATTATTGGTTTCTTCCTTAACTCTGTTGTTTCCAATGGAAATGATAATGCTAAACCTTCAGCCATGAGAAGTGAGGTATAAAGTCATGGTGATTTACAACATCTGTCTTCTCTCCTACATTAACTGCAGGAGGGAGTAAGTCTAGCAGGGAGGCAGGCTTGGTCTCCCAGTTGCTGAAACACAAAATATTGAGGTAAGATTACAGTTTTTATTTTTAAAAAGTCAGAATTTTGCTTTGTTTTTACATTACGTGATGCTGTATGTTCAACGCATAAGTAAGAAAAATACAAAATTTTAATTTTCAATTTTTAATGTCTTTAGATTAATTTTTAATCTCATTGCAATTGTATGTATATGCATATGTATATGTATTAGGTATGTACATATGAAATACATGTTATACATTTGTATTTATTATGCATATGTAATTTATATATACATATACTATATATGAGATATATATACATTCGTGTACTATATATTGTACATATCTTTTATGTGTATATTATATGTATATGCTCATGCATATTTGTATGTGCACCAACAGCATATTCTCTACATTTCTGCATGAGCTTTTAAAACCAATTACTATGGGCCGGGCGCGGTGGCTCATGCCTGTAATCCCAGCACTTTGGGAGGCTGAGGTGGACAGATCAAGAGGTCAGGAGATCGAGACCATCCTGGCCAACTTGGTGAAACCCCATCTCTACTAAAAATACAAAAATTAGCTGGGAGTGGCTGCAGGCACCTGTAATCCCAGCTACTCAGGAGGCTGAGGCAGGAGAAACTCGTTTTCCACATGGATGTTGTGCAAGTCTCCTTCTGGTTTTTAGTGGCTGGGTTGGTGGTGGGCACACTGGGTGGGGAGGACGACAGGCAGGTCTACCAACCACCTAGGGATACTCATCTCCCCGTGGAAGTCAGTGTATTTGCCAATTAATCTTCTACTTATCCATTGATACATCTTTGTTGAGTCCTGTTCTTGATGCTAAAACATTAGCAGTGAATAAGACAAAAAAATCTCTTCTTTCAGAGAATTTATTTGAGAATTACATACAGTGAGTACTGTGAATAAAAGTAAATACAAACAAGCAAAATAATTTTAAATAGAAGCAAAGGCCATGAAGGAAATGGTTTCAGGGGCCATTATCACACCGTGGTGATAAGGTGAGAAATAAAATGTATTGAGAAAGTGTTTTAAATAACATATTTTTAAATAATTTTTTCAAGGCTAATTCTACCTGCTAGGTTACAGCTTATGGTGAAAATTGGATGCAGATAGCAGAAGAGAACTCAAAGAATATCACCAATACAGAAAGCCAATAGTGTTTACCCTTCTGGGCTGTTGTCAGGATGTCTGGTTAAGTGAAGCTTGTGTCCTCTGGACTGTGGACCACGGAAGACAGGAAGACCTGTGAGTTGCAAATAAAATCCTTGTCCCCCACCCATTGAATGGGCTCCCTCTTGACCAAAGGGATCCCATAGAAACCTTAAAATGAGTTCCCAGCCATGATGGGAAGGGAGGTTGGATACAGCTCATTATAACACCCCCTTATGGAGTTTAGACAAAACTGCCCAGAATTAATGTTAAAATAGATATTATAAGACCAATTGAATGGATTTCATGTGACAATAAGATACCAGATTATAACCAAGATGTAAGGTGATGCCAGACCAGGGTAAGTCCTGCCTGCAGGCCATCAGTCTGGCTAAACAAGGCATTTTGACCCAGCATCTTGTGGCTGACTCTGACTTAAGATCCTAATCTTAGATATTCCTTTCTGCTGACAGCAAGTTTTAGAGAGAGTCTTACTCCTTTAACCAGCTGAAAATTAAAGAATTTTTGAATCCAATTATAACCTGTAAGCTTCCACTTTAAGGTATCCTACCTTTTTAGGCCGAGCCAATGTATACATTCTACATACTGACTTACGTCACTCCTGCTTCCCTGAAATGTATAAAACCAAACTGTAATCTGACCACCATATTTTAAATAGTGTATTTAAAAGAGGTTTAAAATAAACTTTTCTAAAATATTTTAGAGTATAGCTTTTCTGTTAACAGATCTCACCAAGGAGGAAAACTAAGGAGGTAAACATTGTGATGATGATGCAATTCGCTCAGGTTCCTACAGACAGCTCTGTGTATGTTAAAGCTGACAGAATTCTATCAGCCCCACCATGGCTTAGTGCAGGCAATAAGCATTTCATTTTGAATTTAAACTTGTACTTAGAAAAATATATGTATTCGGTTGACCATATGAAGTTTCCATTACTGTAGGTCAAAATCAGTCCAATACTGGTCACTGCATGTGACTCAGCCTCATGTGTTTGCATTTAAATGGCTCCACTGCCTGCTCAGAATGGTATCCCCTAGCAAAGGCCAAGTCCTTTGGCTTCATAAGTAAGCTCCATATTTCCTAGTTACTTCCTCTTTTTAAAGATATCGCTAAATAGGGCTGGAAGAATGCAAAATTTAGAGCTGGAGACGGAAACATAGTTTAAATTGCCTTTCTTTGGAAAGAAGAAAATCTGCATGGAGTTGGCGAGGGAAGAATAGGAAATGAAAGAGATGGGTCTAGAAGGCTTTGACGGCTTTTCCCTGAATCCAGAGGGAGAAAGGTGACAGAACTGGCGGCTAAGAAGCTGAAAGGAGCAACTATGGAGAAGAAAGACTCCTAAATGAGATGTGAGAGGAGAGGCGCTGTGGTAGTTGTGAGGTTAACCCCCGTCCTTCCACCCTTCGAGATCTGTACTCAGTTCTGCATGATCAGGGATGCTCTTGTGCAGGCTGAGCCTGGTTAGGAGAAACGGAAAGAGAAGGTGGCATGGCCATGTGAGAAACACACATAGAAAGAGGGATTCACTTGCATGGACAGAGTATCTGTCTCTTCCTGCCCCTACCAATGAAATATGGGAGCGATAGTTTTGAGAGTGCCTAATTATTTGCCACCTGGGACATTCGCATATCAGAGTCAGTACAGTTTTAAGGAAAAAGATTCAAGCCCCTTTACTTAACATTTTAAACCAGATGTCTAAACATGCATTAATTAATAAAAAGGAGAATTGACTAGGCTTGTTTTTCATATATCTAGAAAAATAGATGATTAACATTTTGGAATGAACTAGGATTTTATTCGAGTAATTACTTATTCACAATGCATTATACATCCTGGAAGTAATAGCTCCATAAAAGCCGTTCATTTCCGCTTTTTCCCTAGCCGTGTGACTGGCTGGCTGGTGTTTCCGGTGGGCGTGGGTGTGTCTGGATGCTCATATGTAGAGAGGGCTGCTCATAACTCGGGAGACGCCTCAGCTCCCTCCTCCTTCTTCCCTCTTACTTTCCCTTTCCCTTTCCCTGTGTTTCTCTCCTCCCTCTTTTACACTTAAAACAGCCACTACTATTCTTCTAACTTCTTGTACAAAGTATCCATGAGCATTTGTACCTCTGTGTTTTATTTATTTGTTGCCGGTTCAGAGGAAATGAGAGAACTTTGTTGATGTTCGTGTCTCTGTTTTATCTTCATTTAATCATATTAACCAGTGAAGAGTGTTTAGTTTATTTTTTTCAGGGCCATTTGATTATGAAAAAAAGTAATGACATGATTTCACCTATTCTGTATTCAGGGCCACATTTACTTCCCCACTTGCATTGCTATTTTTGAAAAAAGATTGGTAATTTTAAATTATTCCTTGTATTGGAGAAATATCAACAATATATAATTTTTTATTCGGCAAACAGCATTTAAGTTTTTATCTAACCGAGAATGTAAGAGATGATTACAAAAATCTTAGTAACTGAAAAGGGATGTGTTATTATATCAGTGATCCTAGGAAGAATATTGTGTTTTCAATGGCTATGGTGCCTTACTGCATGTAAAATGTTATTACACTTTATTAAAAGTTACAAAGGGTGTGTTCAGTTGAAAGCACTATCAACTATCCTTTGACAAATCTGGTGGATCATACCAGTATTTTGCAGTGTGTCATGTTTGACACAAGGGGCCAAACAGAAGTTAAAATATAAAGATATGTTAATCTCTATTAGTGTAAAGGAGGTGCAAAATAAAATAGTTTGCTGAATAAGTTAGCCTAAATGAAGTAGTCTGAAAGCAATCCAATAACCCTGGAATTTATATGTTCCCGATTTATTAAGTAGTTCACAAGGTCTGATATTTAAGAAAATTTAATATAATTATTAGCATTCTGAGATATCTGCATTTGAGTTATTATAACTCAAATGTATTTAGAGTTGTAATCAAATAATTAAAATATGACTGCATAAGTGGGGACTATTTCAGGACTTAAGATACTGGTTTGAAAATGTACATATGTGAATACCATAGTCTCTAAAATATAAGACATTGAACTACTAAACCATTCATTCATACATACACACATTAATTCAGTGGAGTGTGTCTAGGTACTAAAGAAGCTGTGGTGAGCAAACTGTACATTCTCTGCCTTCATAAGGCTCACAGATTTATTATGGAGACAGTAATTTAATAGTGCTATAAATAGTAATGCTACAAAAGAGAAGTATATGGTGCTGCAAGAACACATAGTGGAACCTCCTACTCATGACATGCAGCCTACCAGACACCTCCAGCTTAGCTCAAAGAAGGAAACCTTTAAGTTCCATATTTCATATACCCATTACAGTATTCAGTCACTCAAACCTCAGTGTTGAGACAACATTGTAACAACCCACAACCCATCAGAGGCAATGGGAGGATAGTCAGAAGAATCAGAACAAGTCTTCAGCCTTTACTGGCAACTGGGAGGAATTATAACTGGAATTTCCAGCCACAGTTTTGCCATGATCTTGTAGGCGCCTGGGAATCTTATGAGATGCAGCATTTGTCCACTAATAGTGAGAAAGTTTTCAGATGGGTCTTAAATATGACCTAGATCTAAATATATATCACCCCAAATGCCAGAAGAATACACAAATTTGAAGAATCTCAGCTGAGACTGTAAGCCTCCGTGATCTTTGTAAATGGAAGTAACAAAAATGGTTTAAGACAAAAGAAGATGCTTGATATCCCTGGAAGGTAGACACATGGACCATGGTGAAGACTACCTCCTTGACAAAGAGGAGGGAAGAAGACTGATGGCTGCAGTAACCAGAGGAAGCTGCTGGACCAGTATTCCTGAGTTGCACACAGGAAAATGCCCTGAAATTCCACTCTAGCACTTTTGTTATCAAGCTTCCCCAACAGAAAGCACTGTTCTGGGAGAACATACCGCAACCATTTTTCTTTATAGAGGACATCTGCCAAAGGTTGACCTTGTCAGCGGCTACATTTTGAAAAATAATTAAGATGGAGAAAGCTTCCTCCACTTATATAGAGATAGCAAGTAAAAAATTCTTGCTAAAATTATAAATTGCTGATCTCTTCTCCTACCAAGTTAGGCCATTAGTGTATTTACCACAGCTTTATGTATTTTCCCCCCATTTATCAGATTGTGTGTGTGCAGTGTGTGTGTTCGGGGGGATCTGTCAGCATACCTTGTCAGTCGAGAAGTTTTACTGTCAACTCAGACAAGTTTCAAACATTGTACAGATTCACAGAGAAGCAAATTGGTTTTCTGGCCCCAGAAGACTCCCTGGGTTGTATTATATGAGTATAGGGAAGGCAAGCTCAGGTTGATCGATTAGTGGGAGATTGCAGGGGCACTTCTGTAGTGCAGACTAAAACAGGAACCTTCCTAGAATGGCAGGGAGCTTGTGAATCAAGTCTTCCTGGATTAAAAGTCATCGCAGACTATAAATTCCCAGGACCAATTCAAATATGTGAATATCATATAATTCATTAGAAATGACTACTGGATCATTTGGTTTTATGGGTTCCATGTTAGTTAGGAAGATACAATTTAAGAGGAAGATGAAAGTATATATACAATGTCTTCATTTATTAATAAAATAAAATTCACAAAAAGTTACAATATTTTATGTTATATATTAGTCATTGAGTACCCAATAAAAGAAAATTTTCAAAAAAAAATAACTTTTTACAAGTAGAAACAGACTTTATTTGGAAACATGAAATACATACATTTTGTCTCTTACCTGGAAGCATTATCAATATTTAAAGATAGCATTTAAAAATGTTGTGTATGGTACCCACTTTCTCAAAGTAAATGTGTTTGCAAGAAATACACTATTTATTAGACAGGCTCTAAAGAGTAAAAATCAAACAAGTAAACAAATAACACAATTATGTTGAAAAACAAAGGGTATCCAGTAAAAGAGAATAACTAGGTATTGTATTCAGTCTTATTCAGATTAGTGAATAGATAGTTTTGTTTTCAATTATTCAATGATATAATAAAATAATAATTTTAACTTTAATCATGTGTGTTTTACATGCCATTTTAAACAATATGAACATTGACAGAGTTAATATAGAAATTTGTCTCAAGCTATGCTGACTGGAGATGGAGTAATATGGAGAACAAGTTCATTTATTATACTCAAGAGATTAAATTCTTCAAGTCCTAAACCTACTGCAAAAAGCCCTTATGTTTTATTCCTGGTTATAGTTCAAATCAATTGAACTAGTGGATAAATAATTAATGCTTCTTGTAAATAATTCAAGGGATTTATTTGGCTAGTATCACATTTCTTCTATGTGAGTGATTCTCTATGTTGTTGGTTATATGACCAAATTCTAACATCTCGAAAGAACAAAACACTTCTAGAGATGTACCTATTAAAAATAATTCAAGTTATTCTGTCAAATATGTATAAACTTGTATATTTTTCTTCATTAAAGCATTTATTAAGTTAATACCTCTACATATATAAACGAAGTTTTAAAGACAAATATCTGTCTATAGGAATATACTTGTAATTGATTTACTTCAAAGAAAATAAAAAATAATTCTGTGCAAATTTGTTATACCTATACTTTTATTTAATTTGTGACCAAAAAAAAATCCAACTTCATTGATCCCCTAAAAATCACCTCTTTTTTATGTTTTTATCATGTGAACATTTGATAAAGAAAATATTACTTGACCACAAAACAGATATACACTTGGACTTAAGAAGGGGAGAATGGAAACAATTGCAATCCAGGGAAAATAAATTGTATAAACAACAACATAGGAGAACATACAGGTGGATACATTCAGGAGCTGCTGCATAATAACTGTCATGGAGTCTTGGGCTGCCAGTTGATTCCAAAGCCTGTGGAAGGAATGGCCCAGCTTGATCTCCTCGTAGGAGGGCCTGAGTGCTGTCTGCTCACTGGAAAGCATCCAGAGGAGAAGCATTCCTAGGACCCATCAGTCACAAATAAGCTCTGCCTCAGAAACCTGCAGGAGGTGGATTCCATGAAAGAGACTGACATTAGCTAAAGGAGGTCAGAAGGACCCTAGTTGAGATAAGTGGCTTCAAGTATCTCAGGCCTAGTGTAGGGATCTGATTTCAAAAAGAAATAGATAGAGTATATATTATACAGGCTTTTCCAGGGTAAGTACAATTCCTTCTCCCAGTATTGCAACTGTAGTGACAAAGAAATACATGATTCTTAGTCTCAGTTTTGGTTTATTTTTATTTTTATTTATTTATTTATTTTTGAGACAGGGTCTTTTTCTGCCACCATGCAGTGGTGCCCTAATGCCTCACTGCAGCCTCGACCTCCCAGCTCAAGTGGTCCTCCCACCTCAGCCTCTCGAGTAGCTGGGACCAGAGGTGTGCACCACCACACCTGGCTAACTTTTGTATTTTTTGTTGAGTTGGGGATTTTCCATGTTGCCCAGGAAGGTCTCAAACTCCTGGGCTCAAGCGATCCGCCCACCTCAGCCTCCAAAGTGCTGGGACTACAAGTGTGAGTCACTGCACCTGGCCCTAGTCTGAAAACTAGGGTGTAGACAACCAACTGTGTCTTTCATGTCAATAAAGTTGTTCATTAGTTGAACAGCTAACAACCAACAACACAATTGGTTGTCTACACAGTAGCCATCTCCTCCCATCTTCAACAACTGGACTCTTGTTTTCTTCATCTTCCTCTGAGTACTCATGTCCTTTGTGGAAAGCTGGAATCCTCCCAGAGCCAGAAGCTGCGTACTCATTAGCCTCGGCCAATTCTGAATGTCTCCTTCCTCAGTCTAGGTGTGTGGTCTGTGTGAAACACACTCTGCCTAATAGATACTAAGGAAAGTTTGCTGGAAGGCTCAGAGATGGTTTATCTCATTTGTGGTAATAGGAATAAGATGGGTTTTCTCTATTCTGCCCCTTTGGTAGGTGACCATTAGAAGGGAAACAACCATCCCTGGACTATTAAGGGAACACCTAGAGAATTGCAGGAAAAGTAAACAGTCATTGCCCTCTTATTTTCATACTTCTTTTCTGTGATGCAATCAAGTCTTCATTTTTGATGCCGTTTTTAATAAGCCATCTGTAGTTTATAGACGAGGCATTCTCAGATGCATATTAGGAGGTCAGATGCAAGTTGGAAAGACATTAAAGGCAGGTTGAGACAAGATTATCAAGGAGGCAGAAGTCTGATCCTTTTGTAGTTTATAAGCGTGATGATTGGGTTTTCATGCTCATGTGTGAGAAGTGCCTTCCTCAAACCTTGTTATGCTGTTGGTGCATTACTCATGTGATGAGAAAAAAAAAAAAGGAGGCAGAAGTCAGACCAAGGGGTATAGGCTTTCCTTGATCAACAGTGGGGAGTCACTGATGGGGTTTGAGAAGGGGAGCGACATGATCAGCACTGCACTTCAAAGCATTATTTTAAAAGTTGAGCGTGGGAAGGATTTAAGACAAGGCTCAGAACATTTTGCCACTTGGAATGCATTGTTGAATATTCATACAAAACTAGTTTATGGCTCAGCATAAACAATTTTTAAACACAAAGTAAAATACAGTATGTGTTGCCATGGTAGTGACAGAGCCTAGGAAGATAATGACAAGCAGAAAAAAAACGGTGCCATTGTAATTTAAATCACTATAAAGCTTTCTAGAATTTAAGTGTGTTTTCAGTCAGAGTATTTTGAATACACAGGGAAAAGATTATGGTTATTTTATCGTTCTTGCTGAGAAAGGAAAGAACAAAAGAGGGGTGTTTCCTTTTTGCACATGAGACCTATAAAGCTAAACAAAATCAAGTTCATGCAATCAAAAAGCTGACTAGGGTTTGAAAGACTGAATGAGTCAATTAACAGTGAAGCTCCAGTGCAGAGCACAGACTGGTGAGGTACCATTGTTAGCATTGGCTGCAGTCCCCTCATGATGATAAGAACGGCTAACAGGCATTGTCTCTGATTACATGCTAAGCTCTGCACTGACACACAGGCACGAGTCCTCTCTGTATCCTTCACCATCAATCACATGTGCTAATGGTGATGAAGTGTGATGTGGGTAAAGAAGACATTGCTGAATTCAGAGATATGATAAACACAAGTAAATAAAAAGTAAAGCCATAGAAGACATAAATGGTTAATGCCAGAATTTCCAAAAGTATGAATTAATAAAGGGTATGAAAAGATGATGGATATATAGATATTAATATAAAGGAGGTAAGTTTTTCAGAGCTTAAAATTGAAAGCAGTGTTAAGCAATTATTTAAGGGGGAAATTACTGTATGTAAGAGGGAGAGAGAGGTTATACAAGCAAAAAAAAAATTCCTCAAATAAACTGAGTGCACATAACAAATGTTATATTAAGTCAATGCAAGTGAGATTTGAAAGTAGATAGAGAAGAACAAACACACCAAAAAAAAAAAATCAAACTTCTTCGAATGTATAATTGAAGACAGTAACCTCCCAAAACTATTATGGCAAGAAGCCTCACCTCTCTTAGACTCACCCACTACTATTTCTTGTATGGATGGCAGTGTGGGTGCACTTTGCATATCTCCATTTATGAAACAGGAATAAGTGAACTAAAGGCATTAAAACTTGGGAAGGAAACTCCATCAGGGATGAGGACTCTTCTGACTATAGTCAGCCTATTTCTGTAAACCTGAAAGACTGTTCTAGGGCAGGGGTTCTTTAGGCTCCGCCCCCAGAGGTTCTGATCAGTAGGTCTGAGGCAGGGCCTAAGAATTTTCATTTCAACAAGTTTCCAGGTGATGTTGCTGCTGCTTCTGCACACTGAAAACCATTGCACAGTATTAGAGGACTCCAAAGTTCCCTGTGTCACCCTCCAAATAACCAGTGGCTGTTCAAACTCCCTATGGCTTTCACAGTCAAGCTTCTCAAAAGGGCTAATAACAGAACATCCAGTTCCTTACTCCCATTCCCTCCTTGGGCCACTTGAATTTGGTTTAAACTTTGCACTTGCATCAGAAGCTCTAGTCAGAGCTACCAAGCTCTCCAACATCTAGTTAACCTCTTGATCTCAAGGTGCCTTGCTGACCACTCGACTTTCTGGCTCTCAGTGAGGCATACTCTTCTTGTTTCGTTTCCTGATGCCAGTGCACTGCTTTTCAGTCTCTTTTGTTGACCCCGATCTTCACTGGTTACCATGTTGTAGCTATATTTACTTATAAAAGTTTCAAAGAGATCATAGGAATGTCGTGTTTAAATCTTTAAATGGCTTCTCCCTTCACTTAGGATCTTTTCACTGTACTGCATTCACAGGACCCCTACAGTTAACCACCAATCATTCTTCAGATCAGTCTCCCTGTGGAAAGCAATCCTTGCTCCTTCTAAGAGCACCTTGAGCTTTGCGTTGGCTTGCTAGGGGTGCCATACAAAAGTGCTACAGATGGGTTACTCAAATACAGAAAGTACCCCATCTCTAGAGGCTGGAAGTCCAAGATCAAAGATGTCAGCAGGTTTGATTTCTCCCAAGGCTTCTTTCCTTGGCTTCCAAATAGCCTTTTCTCTGTATGTGAGCATACCTGGTGTCTCTCAGGATGTCCATATGAACTCTTTTTATGAAGACATCAATCAGATTGGATTAAGGCCCCTCCAAATAGCACCATTTTAATTTTACCTCTTTAAAGACCCAGTCTCCAAATACAGTCACATTCTGAGGTGTTAGAGGTTAAATTAAGCCTTCAACACATGAATTTTGGGGGAACAGAATACAGTCCATAACACACTTCTGCATTGCAGCTTTTATCAGATAGAATTATAATTAAGTTATTGCTGAACTTCCGTGCACTCCCCGCTGAGGTGCTCAACACTGAGTCTGCAGCATCTGCCATGTGTCTGCCCCATGGAAGGTCAAGGTTCACTTGTTTCCTATTGAACGAAAGAATCATGGTCAGAAAAAACCAAGGATACAATGAACTTGGAACCAGTTTTCCCACCACTTGCCTGGACATTCCCAAATACAGACTCACCAAACAAAATGCCTGTGATTCACATGGCTTAGCAGTAACCTCGCCTCTCCCCAGAAACTGGGTGGTCAGAGGCAAAGGGCAATGCCCTACCCCTTCAGGGGACAGATGTAATTCCAAGGCAGAAAAGTCGAGCAATTCAAGGGAAAGTGTTCAGAATATAAAAATCCACTTGCTGGGCTACGTGAATTTGATGACCAAACACCATTCTCTCCCCAGTTCACCTTCTCCAGCAGCTAAATACAAAGAATGCAAATAATCAATATCCAGTCTCCTAGTCCAGGTTCTCATTATTGGATCTAATAATGCCAAAGCAAACACGGGTACAAGGAAAATCTATTCTTTCTGTGCTGTTGCATCCTTTCTTCTGCCCTTGGTCAGGCTGAACAAGACATAGTTCCTTATGTGTAGGCTGTTGTCCGACACCAGATGGTTAGACGTTATGTAGCAATCATATAAAATTAATTTAACTTTTTACTTTATGGTTAAACACAATTACTGTTCTTTGGAAAAAAAGAAACTTTACACAAATACACATAAAGTAAAAAAGCTGTCATTCAGAAAGTTGTCCCTGTCATCATATTTCCCATGTGTGTCTAATTTTATATGCATATATTAAAATATGCATGCATAGTTTATGCAAACATACACATTAAATGAAAAGGCAAGTACTCTAGTCAGTGATTTTTCAGGTGCTTTATCTTTATAGTGATCTTTCTGATTGTGAAAAATGCTTTAGATCTTTTAGGTTTCACCATTAGATCTATCTCTTGTGTCCATGTAGAACTGGTTTTGGTACATTCTGTAATGTAAAGAATATAATTATTCTTTGTTTTTTGTCTTTTTAAAATTACAAAAACTCTTCCTTTAAACATTTAAAATAAAACATTGCTTATTTAAAAACATCAAGAGATTCGATGAACTTTTGAGTAAAATGAGATGATGATCCACTGTTTCTTCTTTCCTCATACCCTCAACCCACCCCTCAGAGGTCATTACGGGTTACATTTTTCATGTAGATTTACAGACATTCTTCTTTTATACCTCATTAGTAGGCTAGTGTCATAGTCCCATTCAGGCTGCTATATAACAAAGTGCCTTAGATTGAGTAACTTATAAACAATGGAATTTATTGCCCACAGTTCTGGAGGTTGGAAAGTCTAAGATCATGGCCCAGCAGATTTGTGTCAAGTGAGGGCTCTCTGCTTCAGGTATGGTCCCTGCTAGCTGTGCCTTCACGTGGTGGAAGGAGCCCTTGGGCCTCATTTATAAGGGCACTAGTCCTACTGTTGAGGACAGTGTCCTTATGATCTACTCATCTCCCAAAGGCCCCACCTCGTTATATTGTTGCATTAAGAATTAGGTTTCAGCATTTAAATTTTAGGTGGACACAAATCAGATCATAGCAGCTAGTTACATCTCCTCTTTTTTAATCAAATTTCAGCAATAAGTAATGCTGTAACTTGCTTTTTCATACTTAACACTTGCTTGGTCATTTCATGTGTCCAATGTAATTTATTTCATTTTTCTTTAAAGTTACATAATATTCTAACATCATAGTGAATTTAACTGTGCAGCCATAGATTGGTATTAAATTTGTTTCTAGTTTTTTTTTTTAGTATTATAAATAATATTGCAACAAATATTTCTGTGCATGCTTCATTTTACACAGAAGCAATGATGTATGCTGGACTAAATTCTAAGATTTAAATTATCAATTAAATTTTGAAAAAGACTTCCAAACTGGCTCCAAAAAATTTGTATCAACCTGCATTCCCACCAATAGTGTATGAGAGTAATCTTTTTTCCTACCTCATCTCAATTTAGCATATTTAAAGTTTTCTTTATTTTTTCAGAACTAATGAACAAAATAGTATCAATTGCATACTTTCCAATGTACCAATATTTTCTTCTTAGTTTTTTGAATTCTTTGTTTTGTATTTGTATTACATATTCTTATTTCACCTTCTTTATATTAGGTTTTCAGCTTTAAATTATTTTTCAACTTATTTGAAGTTTTTATATTCATTTGTTCACGTTTTGTTGAAAGTTGAAATCTTTTTCCTGCTTTATTGATGGCAAATACTTTCACCTGTATGTCGTTGCCTATTTACCTTTGTTTAAAATTGTTTTCACTTTTTATGTAGTTCAGCTTTTTAACTTTGTTCTTTGCTTAAGAAAGTCCCACTGTAAGATATACATACATCCCTACATACTTTTGTCTAATAGTTTAAAACTTGTAATTTAAGTTTAGACTTTTTATCAAGTTGGACGTGGCTCTCTTTGCCATGTACGAGTCCAGATGGACCTGCTGTCAGGGAGAGGTCACGCCTGCTCACCCAAGGCCTCTCCTCCCTTCATGAATCCACTCTAGTCAGGTTTACTAGCAGCTTCTCCAAGGATCTCAACATTGCCAAATCCTATGGTTGCGTTTTAATTCCCCTCACATTCTGCTTGATAGGTGTGTTTGATATTGGCATCATTCCTTTTTCCTGGAACACTTTCTTCACTTAGTGTCTGCAGCAGCACTCTCTCCATTCTGGCCACTGTTCTTAATCTCCTTGGCTAGTCATTGGCCCAACCTCTAAACATTCACACGCACAGGGCTCAGTCCTGGATCTTTTCTCTGTGTCTGCATGCTCTTCCTATGTGAGTTCATCCAGCAAAATGTCTGGGTCTTGGCATATCCAAAAACATATTTATTTTGCCTTCACATTTGTATCATAGTTTCACCTACATAAATGCATTTTCCTCAAGCCAGTCCAAAGCATAGACCTTGGAATCAGGCTTTCTGAACTTGAATCCCTTTCCACCACTTACCAGCTATGTGTCTGTGGGCAAGTTATTTAACATCTTTGTATCTAAACTTCCTTCCCTGAAAAAAAAAAGAGGCTAACAACTCATTGAGTTGTTAAGAAAATTCAGAGAAACATGTACAAAGAAGTTAGAAAAAAGACTGGGCTAAATATGTTAGCTATCACTATTATTTGAAGACATTATGCTTTAAAATAGCTGGTTCTATTCTGTGCATTGCTACTTTTTAAGTAACCTTTCCAAGATTTTCTACTTGGAAAGATTTCAGCATTCTTTCTTGAAACATAGACATTTCACTAGGATGGCTCCAAGTGTGAATATTTTTTCTCCCAAAACATTTCACCTGGGCATTTGATAAGCCTTTGGATCTAAAAGCCTGTCTTTCCTTGGTTCTTGAAATGTTTTAACAATCAATTCTTTGAATTTTGTTTGTTCTCTACCCCTATGGTTCTTCCTACAGAACTCCTATTATGTAGATATTGAAGCTTCTCGATAGATGTTCCATGCCACTTATCTCACTTTTCTCATGAAGTTTCCTCTCTTTTTCCTTTTACACTGTTTTTGAATACCTTTCAGCTTAATCATCCAGATCACCAACATGTAAGTACTGCCTTTGAATTATATTCTTTTGGAAATTTTACTTACGATTTCTTAAATAATTTAGGTTGCTTTTTGCATATTACTCTGCTCATTCATTATACAGAAAAACATTCATATTTTCATTAAAGCCTCTGCTTTTCTGTTGTCAAAAATGTACCCGATAATTAAGGAGATGACTTGATTAAGACTACTATAATAGAGAAAAGGTTCATTAATAAGGAATCTCTCAGAATAAAAGAAAGAAGATCTAGGATTTTGTGGAGACAGATAAATGAGTGAGTCTTGAGAAATGATGAAGGCAGGGCTTATGTCAAAATATAGAGTGGTCTTTTTAGGTTAGCCATCTCTCAGAACACAAGAGGGTGGGAAAATTTCTTAACTTTTGCTGCTGCTTTCCAGGAGCAAAGAACTTAGATAACATTGAACACTCTCAACCACACTCATTTTGGTTTTTTGTTTATTTCATCTGATAGTTGAGTTTGGTAGCTTCCTTTCACACAAGTGAGTTACCATACATTTATGATAATTCTTTCATCTATGTCCACTGTGTGCACGTGTGTAAAATGAGAAAATGCTTATAACATCATACCTTTCAGCTATTTTCATCAGTCACACAAATCATCATAGATGCTGCCACACTTTCCAACACAAATAATATGTCTGGCCAGCATTGATATTTTCATCAGTGTCTTCATTTCTTAACTTTGTCACAGTTTCTCTTGCTGAGCCCATTCCAGTGTTTCTGTGACAGGTTCCAGTGTTGAAAGCACTGCCAAGCTAGCAGCTCAGTGGATCATAGAAATTATGAGATCCTTCTCTTCCTGTTCCTTTTAATTTGAGTGGTCGTATGTTGTTAGTGAAGTGGAATAGAAATAGAAATTTCCAGATGTCTTTTTAAAAATGCATTAAAACACCATACACAGGACCCCATTAGTACTGTTCATCAAGCAGGTTGAAGGAGCTCAATTGCATAAATAATAGTCTTAAACTGGTTTCCAGCTTATTTTAGTATTCAAATAACGACACTCAAAGATTTCAGGGAGTCATCCTGTCTAATTGCCTCCACCCTATCTAGTATCTGAAGGATAGAGACTGTAGACTTCTATTAATCTCACAGCAGTTCTAAAGGTTGGACTTGTTTAAAACCATGATGACCAGGAGCACATTATAGGTTTATATTTACAGGTGGGCATCCCAATAATTAGTTTCTTGGAAGTGAGTTAGGGAAATTACACTGCTTCTAACAGATGAAGAGTCCACCTGGGAGCCTCCAGGATCAGAATACCCATATTGATTTTTTTTTGGTTGTGGCAATTTAATACTGCTGTTAAAAACAACTTTCAAACCCAGATGAAATGCACAGAGAAAAACTTGTCTGAGGGCATTGGAGAGATATTGAACCTGCCAGCACCTAAAAGTACAAAATTCCAGAACACGGACCTTCCAGAGAGGTAAGCCAGCATTCCTTCAGGGCATTTGCCAATTCCAGGCCCAGTTAAAAAAAACTGAGATCGAAAAATAAGGACAAGAACCAGAGAAACCTGAAAAATGGTTACAGTGTTGCAGAGCTAGAGGGAGGGGTTAGGAAAAAACATTGGAGAAGGCAGGATTCTAGAAAGAAAGAGGAAGGTCAGAGAACTCAACACTTCACCCACTCCACAATCTCATTCTCATGTCTGAAGCTGCTTGTTACAGAAGACCAAGAAGTTAAAGAAACAACCTGACATTCTTGAGAACTAAGGAAAATAGGATTAGCATAATTCAGGATCACCTGAGGGAGATAAACTCCAGAAATGGGAGAAAATTAGAGAGTGATAGAGTGCTATAAAACCTTGCATTAACTCAGGCTTGAATTGGATTAGGGTAGTTAACTCCATTGTATCTGTAGAAAGAAAACACTTTATAAATCTCTACAATTTTTCTAATATAATGCACAGCATTTAGAATACAAATCACTCCAATAAATAGGATCAAAGGATCAAAAAAGAAGTATAAAAAACAATTTCAGAGAAACAATTTCAGAAGTGGTCTAGTTTGTTATTGGAGTTTTGAACAAAGATTTTTTAAAAGATATGTATAATACATTCAGAAAATAGAAGAAAAGATTTTTAATTTCTTTAAAAATATACAGCTAACAATCTAATGGAGGAGTAATGTTGCACAAAATATCTCCTGATGAATCTAATAGAAGAAAAGAAAAATGAAAAAAAGACAAATGGTTCAAATATAAAATAAATATAAGCTGATAAAAAGACAAATATATCAGTAATTATATTAAATGAAATGCCCTAAATAGTTTAATTAGAAGACTAATAATGTCATGCTAGATTATTTTCATAACAATGCACTGCTTCCAAGAAACATACTTTATAAGATTAAAAATTATAAAAGTTTAAGTAAAGATTATAAAATTTAAGTAAGTTTCAAGTAAAGACAAAACTATACCATGCAAGAACTAACCAAAAGAAAGCACACGATGCTTTGCTACTGCTAGTAAATAGATATTTTAATGATGAGTCCATGCACAAGGGAGATATTATAATTCTAAACTGATATTAACCCAAAAAGCATATATGCCTTAATATACACACACACAGAGAGAGAGAGAGAAGAGAGAGAGAGAGAAAGACAGAGAGAAAGAGAGAGAGAGAGAATATGTAAAACTAGTAGAATGCAGCTAAACATTTGTTTAGGAAAAGTTTATTTTTAAATACAATATGAGAAATTAAAGAAAGTTAGAAATCAATTATCAAACTCTGTATCTCAAAAACTTAGAAAACAGCAGTAAATTCAATCCAAAGAAAATACAAGGAAGGAAATTATGTGTAAGTTTTTTGTTTTAAAAAAAGAAAACACATAATATAAAAAAATCCAGAAAACCAAACCTGGTTTTTTCATAAGACTAATAAAATGTATAGGCTTATATAACAAAACTGAATTATTTAAAAGCATAAATTATCAACAGCAAGAGTAAAAAACAAAACATCATTAGAGATCCATTGACATTATACAATTAATAAGAGACTATTATGAACATTATTAGAGCAAACACAATTTACAAAACCTGAAATTGGAAGGAATGAAAATATAAATAGGCATCTTTATTTTAAAGTAATTAAATTTGTAATTAAAGACCTATTCATCTCATGAAGAAATATATAGGCCCAGATGACCTCATTGGTCCATTCTTTCAAGCATTAAAATTTCAAAAAAATACACAAACTTTTATGACAATGAAAATGAGGGCAGTTCAGCATTCTGTGAGGTTGGAACAAACTTGACACAAGAGATTATCAAGGACATAACAGAAAAATTATAGATCAATTTTTGTTATGAACACAGAAGCAAAAATATATGTATATAACATTGGAAATCAAATTTAGCAATATAAATATAAGATAATACATCATGACCAAGTTGAGTTTATTCCAGGAATACAAGGTCAGCCAATAGTTGGAATTCAGTTTATTTCCACATGAAAAGTAAATTTTTTTAAAAAAAAGAAAAAATACACAATTATTTCAATATATGTAGTAATATTTTTAACATCCATTTATCACTAAAACAAAAACTCTTTGCAAACTGGAACTAAAAGTTGTCCCTTAGTTTGATAAAAATATTTTTAAAATGTCTGCACAAATATACTGAATGGTGAAATAGTGAAAGCTTCCCCCTGGAATTAGGAACAATTTAAGGAGGCTCACTATGACTGCTTCTATTCTATTATGCAGGAAATTGTAGCCAATGCAATAAGACAAAGAAATAGCAGATGTTGCTTACAAAGAAGGAATTAAGTTATCACTATTTGCAGAGATTATGACAGTACATATACAAAATTCAAAAGACACTGAAAATAGGCAATTAAAATTAAATGTAACTAGGTGGCTGGACACAAGATCAACACACAAAAATTAATCAATAAATCAATGTATTTATATATACATTAGTGACAAACATAAGGAAAAGTTTTCTTCTAGATATCAATTTTAGTAATAGGAAAACACCAGAAATATCTAATGCAAATTTATCTTTAAGTATAAGACTATTACTTTAAAATTACAAGACAGTATTAAAAGAAACTTAAAAAAAAAAACTAAGTAAATGAAAGGATATACCAAATTCATGTTTGAAAGGCGGGTGGCAAGAGTGGCCTGGGCTGGGATGCACCAAGAATATTGTAAACATATGCTTTGCCCCAACTTATCTATTAATTCAACTTAATTTTAATTACAATCCCAGCAGGTAGTTTTTGTTGAAGTTGGCAAGCAGATTCTTAAACTTATATGAAAAAAAAAAAAAAGAGCCAAGACCACCTAAGACCAATGTGTGGAAGAATAAAAGTGGATATTTTCTAATGCCATATACTGAAACATCCTAAGGTAACTAGAGTTGACAAATCCATACTAAATTATACATTGTACTATTGGTGCATTTATAAACAAAAAGACCAATGAAACAGAACAAGGACCCCAAGAACAGAACTTGTATATACATGGTCACTAGATTTATAGCAAAGTGACCCTTCAGTGTAATGGGAAATGACTTTTTAAAAAATGTAACTAGGTGTACTAGATATTAATAGGAAAGAAACGAATCTTGATCCTTCATATCACATGCATAATAAAAACAACAAAGAAAATTTAGGTCTTCAGGTGAAAGATTTAAAAATATAAAGTTTTACAAGGAACAAAGATAATATTTTCATATCATTAGAGTAGGCATATATTTTTCAAACAATGCACAAAAAGCACTTAACAGAGATGAAAATCTTGACAAATTATATTAGACTAAATTTAAGAGCACTCGTTTATCAAAAAAGCACCATTAAGAGAGCAAATCAGAGTGGGCAAGATCTTTGTAATACACATATCTAACCAAGGACTCATATCCATAATATGCACAAAATATCTACAAAAGAGTAAGAAAAGCAAATCTAGTAGAAAAGTGGCAAAAGATTTGAACAGATTTTCACAAAAATGGATATCCATATGAATAATAAACCTAAAAAAAGGTTCAACTTCATTAGTAGTCATTAATAGCCACTAGACAACCATTAGAATGGTTAAAATGAAAAATGCAGATAATACCAAGTGCTGACAAGGATGTGCAGTGACTAGCATGCTTGTGCGCTCCTTGTAGGAGTGTGTATTGATGCAACCTCTTTGAACAGCAATTTGGTCACAGCCTCTACACCAAGCATGTGCAAATCCTGTTATCCAGTGGTTTCTCTTCTAGCTGTGTTCTCAACAAAATGCAGGTAGCAGTTATTTAAAAGGCCTGCACAAGAATGTTCATAGTGACACCATTTATAAAAGACCGAAATTTGAAATATCCTAAATGTTCAATGGCAATGGGATGAATAAAAGGGGATTGGAATATTCATTCAATAGAATTCTATAACAGAAATACTATAATAGACCATCTATGTCCTGTAGGCCAAATCTGGCCCACAGCTTATTTTGGTATGGGCCCCAAGCTAAGAATGTTTTTTTAACATTTTTAAAGATTTGTTTAAAAAATACATCTTAATAAGACATTCGACAGAGACTGCACATGGCCTAAAGAGTCTAAAATATTTGCCACCTGACACTTTACAGAGTTTTGTCAACCCCTACACAACACTGACATTGAATGAAATATTGCTGTATACTCTAATCTAAATGAATCTCACTGACTTCATATTGAGGAAAGAAACTAATGACAAAGGTACATACTATATTATATACTCCATTTATATGTGTTTCAAAAGCAGGAGAGACTAATCTAGGAGAGCAGATGGTTGTAACAAAGGCTAGCTGTGTGGATAAATCCTGGCTGGGAGGAGGTGCAATGTGGCCTCTGAAGTGAAATGCCCTGATTTTCCATCTGAAGATGGTTACATGGGTGTGTTTCCTACGTGGGAATTCAATGAGATCCACAATTGGTTTGTGGACTTTTTGGAGGCCGTTTTAATTAAATCAAAATTTAAAGTAGCCTCCTAGACAAATAATGGAGCCTCAATGTCAGAATGTGGGAAATTCAGGGAGCTGCCCACAGTTACCCCCGTCACCTGCCTAGCACCCCCTCCTCCAAGTGCTGCCTTCTGAATGTCAGGTTTTTCTGCAGAAGCACACTTTCTTGGAAACCCATCTTCCCGAAGATCTATTTTTGTCTACATAGGATTGCAGGTTCTTTGGTTCCTTTAGGCTTCACGATTAATTTTGTTGCATTTGATTTACACTTTTCAAAAATTCTTCTTTGTTATAGTTTTCCATCGGCTCTCATATGTACTTTACAACTTTTATATTTTTCTCTTCTTAGTCTTTATTTTGATAAAACGATTTTCAATCTTTTGTCATCAAGTAAAAGATCTGATATCATTTGAAATACAGTTATATTTAAAATATATATATCTTGTGGTAAGTAGTACTTTATGCTTCACGATTGTTTTATATATATCATGACTCAGAATTCAAATAGAAGAGTAAATATTTAAGGATTGCCAAAGCAGTTTTGAAAAAAGCAAACTGAAGTATGTGTGAATGCTGAGAAATAAGGCTCAGACTAGCATAAAGCAAAACATGTTAAAAAGTTATTGTAATAAAAACAGTATGTCTGTGGTACAAGTACAGGCAAGTAGAAGAATCAAACAGAGTAAGAGTTCTGGATGAATTAAAGGCAAGAGGTGGGAGGACGATTATTAATGTGTTAAGAAAATTGGCTCATCCATTTGAAAAGGGAAGTTTTCCTTAAATATAATTCCAAAAGCCAAAGTGTTAAATTTTTTAAAAAAAACAAAGTAAATAAACTTAGTAACACAAAAATACACCATCTATAAAGTAAAATCCACCAAATAGACTGGAGGCTGAGCACAAAGGCTCATCCTGTAATCCCAGCACTTTGGGAAGCCAAAGCGGGTGGATCACTCGAGGTCAGGAGTTCGAGATCAGCCAGGCCAACATGGTGAAACCTCATCTCTACTAAAAAAAAATATAAAAATTAGCCAGGCATGGTGGTGCATGCCTGCAATCCCAGCTACTTGGGAGGCTGAGGCAGGCAAATCACTTTAACCCAGGAGGCGGAGGTTGCAGTGAGCTGAGATCGCACCACTGCACTCCAGCATGGGTGACAGAGCAAGACTCTATCTCAAAAAAAAAAAAAGACAAATAGACTGGAAAGAAACTCACAACATAAATACACATATATATGCATATACATATAAATCAGAAAAGACGTGCTAAGAATATACAAAGAGATGTCAAAAAATCAAATAAGATCCCACATTTCTCTCCTCATGTGCTGCAGTCTAAACTCCATGGGATACATAAGTCCCTATCTTTGGCCCTTTCTTCCCTCTCTCCCATTCCTAAAACTCTTCCAGTGTTCCCTGTGTAATACAGTTTGCACAGTCCCCCATATCATCATCCTGTTTTCTCAATGTTGCGTTCACCCTCTTGATCTAATAGAATCTTATCCCTTCCCTGCTTTACCTTTCAAACATTGGCTGTCTGTTTTTGTTTTCTTTTCTATGACCTTCATGTTGCTAAACCTGTAGGTAAAATAAGTGCCTTTCTTGATTTTTTTTCCTTTCATTACAGACTGCTTTTCCTTTGTGCTCCAAAAACAAGACATAACAAACCAAATCAAAACAAAACACAGTTTTGGATATAATGTTATCAGATTAAATCACCTCTACCTCTTCACTGTGGCTTTTCCCTGCTGGTTCCAACGGCATCCCATTCATTTCCCTGGATCACTAGGCCTATTTAACTCTTCGTGATTTCAATATTCAATGCTCAGGACTCAGTTCCTTGTCCTTCTCTCCTCCAGTGAGTTTTCTCCCTTTGCTGCCTCAGCCATCCCCCCATGATCTTACCCTAGCTCTTTCCATCACTGTAACCCTCCTTAGCTTTAATTTAATGCATCCCACTATGCACCCCACCTCCTATTTTTAAAATATTTCTTCCAGTACCTTGAACTCAACAATCTTTCAACCTCATGGGAACTTTTATTCTACTGATTCTACCAACATTTTTGTCAGGCAATTACTCCTTAATGGTCTCACTCCACTTTCTACCCAATTTAAATTCTATAGTAGGGGTCCCTGACCCTGGGGCTGCTGACTGGGACTGGTCTGTGGCCTGTTAGTAACTGGGCCACACAGCAGGAGGTGAGCAGCTGCCGGAGAGCACTACTGACTGAGCTCCACCTCCTGTCAGATCAGTGGGGCATTAGATTCTCACAGGAGCATGATCCCTATTGTGAATTGCACAGGCCAGGGATCTAGGTTGCATGCTCCTGATGAGAATTTAATGCCTGGTGATCCAAGGTGGAACAGTTTCATCTTGAAACCATCCCTGACCCCTGGTTCATGCAAAAATTATCTTCCACGGAACTGGTCCGTGGTGCCAAAGACGTTGGGAATCGCTGTTCTATAGGCAATTGTTAAAATCACTCTTTTTCATAATCGCTTGACAAAACTACAACCCTGGCTCACTCTGTTTCTGGGACCACCCCTCACTTGAGCCTGTGTGCTGAATGAGGCTGGAGGAGAGACAACCAAAACTAAGCAGATGTGCACTAGCTCATGACCGTCAACCTCAATTTTCATACATCTTCTATCTATGCCTTCTCTCTGTCTTATACATCTATTTTACACTTTCTCCTCTCCCCTGAAATTTTCAACAGCTTCATCCCCCTTCTCACTCTAATGTTTCCTGTTGAGAAAATTTAAGGAATCTTAAAAGAATTTCCACAAGCCTCATTTTCACATCTACGGCCTACAGGTACCTCCACCTACATACGCTGCCCTTTTGCCTGTTACTGCAGAACCACCCACGTTTCTGTCTAAAGCTAATCCCTCCCAGTGGCCATGAGGTCTCCTCTTCATCAGTAAAAAAATCTTTATCGAATCATTCTGTCAGTACACACATATGTTTTTATGTCTCCTTTTAAAAAAATAAAATAAAATAAAAATTAAAAACACTTCTCTTAATTTCCAAACCAGTTTTTCTCTCTTATCCTCTTAAACACACTCTGATATGTCCTTTAACTCGTCACTCCACCAAAACTTCTTTTGTATAGTTTATAAATGACTTCTATGTTGCTAAATCTACTGTCAATTCAAAGACATCATTGAAGTTGATCTATCAACAGCATTCTACACAATTTATTTCTTCCTCCTCCTTAATACATTTTCTTCACTTGTCCTCCAAGATCCCACACTTGCCCAGTTTTTCCTACCGCCCAGGTTCTTCTGCTATTCACTTTCTTCCACAGCCCCTTCCTCTTCACCCTGAACTCTTCATGTTGCCCCACCCCAGACTCGGTCTTTGTTCTTCACTTACCAGTCTACACACACATCCTTGGCAGTCTCTTCAACCCTCAGAACTTTATACAGTTTCTCTGTGCCAAATTCCTATCTACAGTCCTGCTCCTGCACTCCCTCCCAAATTCCGGATATATTTAACATGTACTCGACTTATTTGCAGGTTTTATAGACATTCCAAACCAAATATTTCTGTTACAAAATTATAACTGCTATGAAAAAAAAAGGATTAGAGTCAGGAGGACCTGGAGTGAGATGTGGGGTGCTGGTGGAGATGTGTTACTGTGTTGATTAGGGGTATGGCAGTTAACACTCACGAGCCAGTGATGGATTCTTCAAGCAGATTCTGTTCTATTCACCAAAAATACAGCGGTAGAAAGAAGAGGCAAAAACTCTCACCTTCTCAGAATTTACATTCTAGGCCAAAATTTATTTTCAAGTTATATAAAGAATTACTTACAAAATTGATAATAAAATATAAATTGCAGGCAAGAAATAATGGATAATTAAGTATGCTTATTAAATTAAAGATAAATGAGGGTTTTTTTGGGTGGTTTTTTTTGAGACTGAGTTTGCTTTGTTACCCAGGCTGGAGTGCAGTGGCGTGATCTCCGCTCTCTGCCACTTCTGCCTCCCAGGTTCAAGCGATTCTTGTGCCTCAGCCTCCTGAATAGCTGGGATTGCAGGTGTGCACCACTATGCTTGGCTAATGTTTGTATTTTTAGTAGAGACAGGGTTTCACCATGTTGGCCAGGTTGGTCTCAAACTCCTGACCTCAAGTGATCCGCCTGCCTTGGCCTCCCAAAGTGCTGGGATTACAGGCGTGAGCCACTGCACCCAGCCATAAATGAGTTTTTGAAGATACTATTTTAAGAAAAAAAAAAAAAAAGGACTTTTCAGCAGACTTCTGCAGAGTTTATATTTGTTGCATTAAGAAAGATTGGTGCAATTTGATGCTATCTTAGAGAACTCAACCCCTAAATCTGTAGTATTAATATTAGGAATAAATATGTTTGTGGAAAATGAGCACTTGTTGCTGAAATATTCCTGCTGGTAGGAGCAGAGGCAAAGCCAGACAGGAGCTCCAAGCCCTGGGCACAGGGTAGGGTGCCTGCCACATGCTCTGGGTCTGTGTGGTCCACCTTGACCTGAGCAAGTGACTGTAGTAGACCCTGGGCAAGTCCAAACCACCATGGTCCAAAAGGAGGCACAGCCAACCGATATCCATACAATAGGAGGACACTGAGAACCCGAAGGGGTCCTGCCAAGAATCCAAGAGCTCCTGGAGATGGGGAGGGGATGGAGACCAGGGATTGTTCTTATTACAGCCTGTGTACTGTGACAAAGAGAAAAACTCCAGAGCAGAGCTACTGAGAGTTTAACCATATAAGCCCTTGTCTGTGGGTTAGAAAATACTGGCATGAACTAGCTCTCCCTCTATGGTCACACCAAATACAGCTGTAAATATCTTCTTATCTATCTCACTATATCATTACAAGAAGAAAACTCCAATATAGTGTTTACCTCTGAATGATGGGTTATTGGGGATTATTTTTATTTTCTTATTTAATGGCTTCTGAATATATCAAATTTCCTATTGCAGGTAAATAGTAGTATGTACTCTATTATAATCACAGAAATAAATTTTATTTTTAAATAGCAATAATGCCCTCTTAATTTTTTCCCTAGAATCAAAATCAAGTTCATCAACATTTTTCCCAAAATCAATCTTTAAAAAAAATTCCCATATGAATGAATACCTATATCTTCACATTTTATCTATGATAATTAGTAATTAATTACAGATCATACTCAAATTTATTGTAGAGAGAGGTAATTGAAAAATATAAGTAAATATCATTAAAAAAGATTTTTTTAATATTTTAAAAAACATCTTTTTTAGTTTTCTTATCTGTCTTCATTCTAGTTATAGTCCATTTATGACCTTTTTTATTTTAAGCTTACTCTACAGGGAAGGGAGCAAAATACAAGTTGAATATCATGCTTTCTATTTTTGTAGGACATTATCAATTCATACTCAGATTAAAACTAAAAGGAGATTTTTATTCCCTTTAATTTATTTTCTCAAGCCTTAATTTATCCTGAGGCTTGATTTTCCTGATACTATTATTATAGGTCAGCCCCATTCTTTTGAAAATAGATAAGGATGACTGTACTATTCCACAGAGTTAAAATTACATTATATACTTATTTTGTTTCAAAATTTTAACAAGAAGACTAAATCAAGTGTTTATGAGTAGTCTATAATTACACCCAGATACCAATTGTTTGTCCAGCAGTTAAATGCACTTCTAATTAGATATGGAGAAAACTGAAAATACACACCAATCTTTTTTGCATTTACTGAAATTTTCTTCTTTTTATTCAGAACACATCGTTGTTCTGCAAATGAGCATCCATCTGTTATGGTGGGAAGAAAATGTAATCCTTTGCTCTTTAGTTCCTATGTTCCCATTAGGCCATACAAGGTAAGGAAATGAGTTCTAGGCTATACTTTTGATTTATTGCAGAACTGAACACACTTACATAGAGAAAAGTGCTATTTTAATTTTACACCAATAAACACACATACATATGTCTAACCTTTAGATGTAGTCATAAAAATGACTGAGGACTCTGGAAATAGAGTGAAAACATATAAAAGTTTCACTTTTAATACTGTTGCTCAGAGCTGTATTGTGCAAAATTAAAGAAAAATTTCTAATATTTTTTAAACTTCACATTCTTAAATTTAGCCTTCCAAAAGTATTTACATATTATATTGTATTATGTTTTCTCCATTACTGTACATTCATACTTATCACATTGGAACAATATGAATATGTTCAAAAGATTTTAAGAGCAATTTTAGGATCACAGAAAAAATAAAAAGAAGGTAGGGATACACGCCAGATATTTCCTATGTCCACTCCTGCCTAGCCTTTCTCAATGTTAGTATCCCTCACTGGAGTGGAACACTTGTTATAATTGATTCACCTGTATTCACACATCATTATCACCCAGAGCCATACTTTACACTGGGGTTCCTTCTTGGTGTTGCGCATTCTGTGAGTTTCAAAAAATGTATAACGACATTTATCCATCACTATGGTATCATACAGAGTGATTATGTATCATACAGGGTGTTTTCACTGTCCTAAACATCCTCTGTGTTGAGCCAATGCATTCCCCTACTGCCCCTCTACCTCTGGAAATCACTGATGTTTTACTGCTTCCATAGTTTTGTTTTTTCCGCTCTGTCATGTAGGTAAAATCATACAGCATATGATAATAAGTAGCCTACTCAGATTGGCTTCTTAGTAATACACATTTAAGTTTCCTCCGTGTCTTTTCATGGTTTAATAGCTTATTGCTTTTTAGCACTGAATAACATTCCATTGTCTGGATGTACCACTGTTTATGTCCTCTTTCACCTTCTTAAAGACATCTTCATTACTCTCAAGTTTTGGTAATTATGAGTAGAGCTGCTATAAGCATACATATGTAGGTTTTGCATGGACTCCTTTCAGTAAATATCAAGGAGTGTAATTGTTAGATTAGATAGTAAGAGTATGTTTTGTTTCATAAGAAACTGCCAAAATGTTTTCTAGCGTGGCTATAACACTTTGCATTCCCACCAGCAATAAATGAGAATTCTTGTTCCACATCGTCCTCAGTGTTCTGAATATCAGCCATTCCCACAGGTGTGTAGTGGGATCTCACTGTGGCTTTCATTTGCATTTACCTTATGACACATCAATTTCAGTATCTTTTCATACATTTATTTTCCATCTGCATATCTTCTTTAACGAGGTGTCTGTTCCATTCTTTGGCTCATCTTTTGTGTTTTTTTTTATTGTTGAGTTATAATAATTCATTGTATATTTTTGATAACAGTCCTTTATCAGATATATTACTTGCAAATACTTTCTTCCAGTTTGTGGCTTGTCTTCTCATTCTCCTGAGAGTATCATTGAAAGAGTAGAAGTTTCTAACTTTAATGCAGTTCATATCATCAATCATTTCTTAAATGGATTGTGCCTCTGGTGTCATAACTAAAAAGTCATCACCAAACCCATGATCATCTAGATTTTCTTCATGTTATTCTATGTGAATTTTATAGTTTTGCATTTTATATTGAGATATGTTGCCTATTTTGAGTTAATTTTTGTGAAAGGTGTAAAGTGTGTCTAGATTCATATTATTGCAAATGGATATCTAGTTGTCTCATCACCATTTGTCGAAAAGACTACCTTTTCTCCATTATAATGTCTTTGCCCCCTTGTTAAAAATTAGTTGACTGTATTTATGTGAGTCTATTTCTGGGTTCTCTATTTTCTTCTATTGATCTATTTGTCTATTATTTCATCAATATTATGCTGTCTTGATTCCTATAAACTTATAGTGAGTTTTGAAATCAGGTAGTGTCAATTCTGAAACTGTTTTTCTCATTCAATATTGTGTTGGCTTTTCTGGGTCTTTTGCCTCTCCATATAAACTTTAGAATAGTTTGGGTCAATATCCACAAAACATTTTGCTGAGATTTTGATTGGGATTGCATTGCATCTGTAGACCAAGTTGGGAAGAACTGACATCTTGTTAATATTGAGTTTTCCTATCCATGGATATAGCATATCTCTCCATTTATTTAGTTCTTCTTCAATTTCTTTCATAGGTTTTGTAGTTTTCTTTATATAGACCTTGTAAATATTTTGTTAGAATTATACCTAAGTATTTCATTATTTTTGTTTTGCTGGTAGAAATGATACTATGTTTTTAATTTCAAATTTTACTGTTCATTGCTAGTATATAGGAAAGCAGCTTGCATCTGTATATTAACCTTGTATCCTATAACAGTGAAATAGTGGTATATTAGTTTCAGCAGTTTTTTTGTTGATTTGTTTTTGTGTTCTACATAGCTGATTATCATCTGCATTTAATCCAGTTAGTAGCTCTACAGTGTTGCATGAATGCCTCCAACTTATTTTGTAGTCAAATCTTTGATATCATTGCTAAGATTCCAAATCAGATGAAACATATTTTCTCATAAATGCTTCTCTTCAGAAAATTCTTTTTCTTAGAATCACAATGTTTTTAAAAAATACATTATCACATTATGTTTCTCTGATATTCATCAGTTATTTCAACTGAGATGCATTTTGAAGACTATTAATAGTTTCCTTATTACCATCTCTCTCTAAATTTCCAAGATCTGCCTAGGTGTGTATTTCTTTATATATACAATGTACCCATTGGTAAAGTTTTTTTTTAATTTTGAAATCTTAACTTATTCTTTGACTTTGTGCTGTTTTCTTCTCTTACGTACTAATATGATTTGGCTGTGTCCCCACCCAAATCTCATCTTGAATTGCAGTTTCCATAATTCCCACGTGTCATGGGAGGGACACATTGAGAGGTAATTGAGTAATAGGGGCAGTTTCCCGCCTACTATGCCTGAGATACTGAGTAAATTCTCACAAGATCTAATGCTTTTATAAGGGACTTCCTCCTTCACTCAGCTGTCATTCTTCTCTCTCCTGCTGCTTTGTGAACAAGTATATGTTTGCTTCCCCTTCTGCCATGATTGTAATTTTCCTGAGGCCTCCCATTCCTGTGGAACTGTAAGTCAATTAAACCTCTTTCCTTTATAAATTACCCAGTTTCATGTATGTCCTTATAGCAGCATGAGAACAGACTAATCCATGTACTGATTATTCACCCCCTAATGTTAGCCCTGTAATACCTATCACAGCTATTGCGAAGCTCTTGCTTATTTTTGCAATGACTCCTTTCTGTTTGCTCATGACTCTTTTTTTGTTCTTAACATATAAGTTTTCCAGTTGAATCTCTTCTGGACTTGTTTTTCAGTGTATTCAGTGTGTATCTAAATGCCTTCATTGCACTTATTTTTTGGAGGTAATATTTTCTAATCTCAGTTTGTTCTCTCTACATTAATGAAAAGTCTACTTGTATATGATATTTGGGGAATGTTCTACACATTAAAAACACTACTTATTTGCATCAAAGTCTCAAAAACAATCAATAGAAAATGATTTTTGGAATAGTATATGTTAAACCGATGTATATGTTATCTGTCATTTCTGCTCATTAACTTGTAAAATTATCACTCTGGCTTCTGTGAGGAGAATGGACTGAAGGGGGCAGAACCGGAGGTGGGAGGCAACTGAGCCAGTTGTCAAAATTAATAAAGTGGGGAAGGATGCTGATCTAGGCTGTAGAGGTGGGAGTAGCAACAGAAATGACATCATTTTAAAAATGTAAATAAAACTGGTAAGACTTAGTGGTGGATTAAACTATGACTGGAAAAAGGAAAGCAACATGAAGAATGACTCTGTGTGTGTGTTTGAATTTTAACACTGGGTTGAGAAAGTTGCCTTTCCCTAAAATGTAGAAGTAAAAGGGGAGCAGGTAAGCAAAAGATCAGGAGATTAATTCTGAACACCTTACATGTGAGGCACAGGTTGCACAACCAAGAGGAAATGTCAAATTGGGAGTGAGAAGGAGCATTCAAGGTTTCCAGAGAAATTCAGGCTGGAGTTATAAATTGGGAAGTTATTGGTGTATAAATGATAGAAATAATGAATGCCATTGCTAATATCTGCTGAGTATCAAGGCACTGTGCTAAGTCCTTTACATGTATTATCTCAATTAATACTCAAAATACCTTTTAACCTAAAGGTTAATATCAAATCCATTTTACAGATGATGAATCTGAGACACAAAGATTTTACAGCACCTAAGTAACTGTCAGGATTCAACTCTGACTCTGACTAAAGGCTCTGCAGGCAAAACCACTGCATTTCACTTATAGTACAGCAGGAGAGGGAATAAAATAGGGCACAAGACTTAATGCTAAGCAACTTGGCCTTTAGAAGACGAGCGAATAAAAATAATAAGTAAAGGCAGCTAGGAATTCCTGACCAGAAGAGTAGTTATGTAAACTAAGAAAAAGAAACTTCAAGAAGGAAGTGATGTTTACCTGTTTCTATGGGTGTTAAGCTGTGTGGTAAGATGAGAACTGAAAGTGTCCATGAACCTGGTAATAAAAGGTCCACAATGCTCTCAGCCAGGGTAGTCTTGATGGGCATAGAAAACCAGATTGAAATGGGTGAGAGGCAAGACGGCAGAGTGTGGTCACTCACTGGACATGTCCTGTGCTTCAAACACATAGATATGACAGATTAAGTTTAAAATAATAAAATAAAATAATAATAATAAAACTAAAAAAGGATAACAGAAACAAGAATAGAATAGAAATGCAAACATCAGGGCTAAGATTCTGAGCATAATGTGTCCCGGTCCCAGGAAACTAAAGCTATCACTTGGGATGAAGAAGAGGACTAGCTTCGAGACTTGTAACTAGGGGCTAGGGTTTGCCATTCTACTATCTAACTGGCTGATCTCAAAAAGAGAAGAAAATAATCCCATGTCCATTTCAGACAAAGAGCTAAAAGGCTTTAGAAAGCAAGCCCAGGGAAAAGGGTAGCTTTTTCACTAGGAATTCAAGGAAGCCACAGATAGCTCTATAATTGTCTCTGCACAGGGTAAAGCACTTAATTTGCCTTGTGAACACACAGTTAGACTGAGACTTGGTACACCATATGGAAGTAGCTGTGAAAACATTAGCTAAGAAGAGATTCACATGGATGGAAATGAACAAAAAGAGATAGAAGAGTTCACTGAGAATACAATTGATATTAAAAAGATGGAAATATGTGAAAGAGCAATTAAGAGACATGGAAGAGAACCAGCAGTCCCCAATATACCTCTCAGAGCAGTTCTAAAAATAGAAGAGTGAGAGAATGAAGAGAAAGGTGGAGAGGCAATATTTGAAGAAACAAAAAATCAGAACTTTAGTGAAAATGGTCATGAGGCTATAAATTAAAAAATATACTAGCAGCACTGAACACGAAACTACATAAGGAGGCAGTTGTAAAAAATTACCACAAATAATTGACAACCTTCACAGATATGTCAATTAGAATTATAGCACAATTCACACTAGCAATAATAAAGCCAAAAGATGAGTTAGTAAATATATACAGAACACTGAACAAAAACAACTATTACCTAAATTTTAAAATCTGTCGTACCAGCATAAAAGAGTAAGGAAAAATAAACAGATTTTTCAGCACAGAGAGACAAATATAATTTAACACAATAGAAATCTTTATTGAGAGAACAAGTAAGGAAAATGCTTCAACAAGTAATAAACTATACCCAGAAGAAGAAAAACTATGGGACTCAAAAAAAATTGTTTTTAAATGTCAGTAAATTTAATTATTGAGTATAATTCTAATATCTTTTTAAAATGTAAAGGTAAACTTTAAAATGAGGATGGACATGCTTAGAGGGAATTTAAATATTCTAGAGAATAGAAAAGGATGCTTTGAAAAAGTCTCATCTTTGCTAAAAACGTTGTAAGTATAGTTAAGTATGCATGTTTGAAAATGTTTAAAAATATTAAAAGAACAAACATAAAAAATTTAGCTTTAAAGTGAACAGAATTAACAGAAAAGAAAACAACTCAATGAACTGAAAAAAGGCATAAATATTTTAAAAAACAAAAGAAAGTAATGAAAAATAATGGTAGACATAAAACAATGCAAGATGGTAAAACATATATATTTTTAAAAAACATAACAAATAAAAATGTATTACCTTCACTCTGGCCTAAAGCTAGTTGTCTTCCACAGCCTTTTACTTCTTCCTGAGTTTTCACCATCCATTTAAAAGCATGCAGCTAAGTATAGCCATGTAACCAGGCCCTGGCCAATGGTATACAAACATAAATGCTGTTTGTTCCTCCAGGGTCTTTTTAAAACCCATGTCCTGGAGGATTCAATCCTGTCTGCTGGCTGGAAATGGTAATGACTGGAGCAATCTATGAAGCTATGTGCTGAGGGTAGAACAGCCATGATATTACTGAATCCCTGGGTGACCTTGTGGAGTGAAGCCTACCTGGCCCTAGAATGTTACATGAAAGAAGTAATCTTCTATCTTGTATAATCTAGTGAACTTTGATTCTCTTTGTTATAGCATATTAGCTTTTACCCTACCAAATTTACTTACACATTAAAAGTAAGAGGTAGAGATATTGATTGGGTTAAAAATCAAGTCATAAACTGTTTATAAAAACATCATACAATAATGCCACACAGAAACATTGAAAATAAGTGGATGAAAATTTGCATTCGAATACAAAACAAAAATAAAGATAGTGTGTCAATATTAATATCAGACAAAATTTAAGTCAGAAATCTTACTGGATAAGCCATTTGAAATTTTGAAAAAGCAATCTGGTGAAAATATATAAAATAATGAATTTGTGTGTACCCAGTAACCAACTGAAACTACAGTAAAAACTAAACTAGATATTATAAAATACCTGGATTTAAGCTGGATATTATAAAATATCTACTTTCATCAGAAGCTACAAAATTAAGCTCACAAATATAAATAAGGGTACAAAAATATGAAAGCTAAAATCAACAAGCATGATCTGATAAATATATAGAGACCTCATGAGCTATTAGGTACATATATATGCATTTCAAGTATTTGTAAAACAATAAAGTATGCCCAACAAAATTTCAAAGATCCAAAATCATGTTGATCATATTATTTAATTATAAAGTGGTAGGAACAAAGAGGACAATTAACAACTCTAATTTTTCAATTTAATAAACATTAACAAGCGTGTAATGTGATAATTTAACAAATGGTACAATAGAATGAGAGAAAAATCTGAATAATTATAGCTAAAATAATAACACAAAAATATTGTTTTAGAAGATAAGCAAATAATAAAATATGTTACAAAATTTAAAATATTAATCTCTGAGGTAACTAAAATAAAAAAAGAGATAACAGGCATACATATTAAAAATGGGAATACAATGCCACTACATACAATATAGTAAAATAGCAGTAAAATGAAAATATTCTAGGTATAACATAAATTCCAAATAAATAACTTGAGGACTTTTTGTATTGCAAGACATGCCTAAAAGAAAACAATGAACAGGAATAATCTTTGTATTTATATATATTAGACAAAAGGGAATGCTACATAAAATGGAAAATGAAAACATCTCATATATTGTTGACAAACAGAAATGAGTCCAGCCAGTTTGAGGGCAATTTGACAATCTTAAATATTAATGTCCTTTGAATTAAGTCCAGTTTTTTATTACCAGTTGACTCATTATTTTAAACATAACAAAGCTCAAATGTCCTGAATGAGTGTTCCTGTTATTCTACATCCTTGTCAGCATTTGGTATTGTCAGTGTTTTGGATGGGGGCCATTCTGATAGGTGTGTAGTGGGATCCCACTGTTGTTTTAATTTGAATTTCTCTGATGACATATGAATTTGAGCATCTCTTCATATGCTCATTTGCCATCTTGATATCTTCTATGATGAGGTGTTTGTTCGAGTATTTTGCCCATTTTTTAAAGCTATGTTGTTTATTTTCTTATTGTTGAGGTTTAAGAGTTCTTTGTACATTTTGGATAACAGCCCTTTACTAGAGCTGCCTTTCGAAAATATTTTTTCCCAGTCTGTTCCATGTCTTTTCATTCTCTTGACACTATCTCTCATAGAGCAGAAGCTGTTAATTTTAATAAAATCCAGCTTATCAATTATTACTTTCATGGATTTTGACTCTGGTGTTGTATCTAAAAAGTTATCCTATGAAACCTAAGGTCATCTAGATTTTCTCCTGTGTTATTTTCTAGGTGTTTTATAGTTTTCTGTTTTACTTTTAGGTTTATCATTTATTTCCAGATAATTTGGGGGGAGAAGGTATAAGGTCTGTGTCTAGATTCTTTTGAGTTTTTTCTCTTTTTTTTTTTTTTTTGAGCATGAACATCTAGTTGTTCCTGCATCTTTTCTTCTTCTTTTTTTTTTTTTTTTGAGATGGAGTCTCATTCTGTTGCCCAAGCTGAAGTGCAATGGCATGATCTTGGCTCACTGCAACCTCTACCACCCAGGTTCAAGCAATTCTCCTGCCTCAGCCTCCAGAGTATCTGGGATTACAGGCACACGCCATCACATCTGACTAATTCTTGTATTTTTAGTAGAGATGGGGTTTCACCATGTTGGTCAGGCTGGTCTCGAACTCCTGACCTCAAGTGATCCACCTGCCTCGGCCTCCCAAAGTATTGGGATTACTGGCGTGATCCACTGTGCCTGGCTGGCATCATTTGTTGAAAAGACTGTTCTTTTTTCTATTATATTGTCTTTGCTCCTTTGTCAAAGATCAGTTTGCCAAGTTTCTTTAAAATGATGTGCTAAACATTAATAAAGTTTCAACATAAATAAAGAGCACATACAGTTGATGGCAAAGAACAAACAAGAAGTATAATATAATACAGTAATCACCTAGCAAACAAGAAGCTGAGCGCACATGTTCTAGAATGTTAGAAGTAGGGCAGATGGAACATCCTTTGAAAAATAGGTTCAAGGCTTATAATGTTGGTAAAGTGATGGATGTGTAAAATAGGACTTGCTCTTCAATTCCCAACTACAGTCTGTGAGACTTACCTAATGCTAAATTGAAGTTTTAATGACTAGACATTGATTGTATTCTTTATACCTCTTTCTGTAATCTTGTCCTGAAAAGGCACTAGTGAGAATAACATGTAATTTCAATGTAGTTGAAAGTCTCAGTTAGAGTGTTGATCTGTGAAAAGATGTAAGGGACAGTCCTACATAAATCACCTATTCTAGTGAAGCATATACTTACTATCGAATCATTGTCTAGGTTCAAATATTCAGATGTTAGTTTTCTATTCCTGCTACTTAACTGATTTTTCTTCAGTATTTAACAGCAGGGTAAGACACTGATTCGTACTTTCCACAACTTAGTTAATATGACTAAAAGAAGCAGGGAGAAACAGGGTTCCCTGTAAGAAGTAATCAAAAAATAAGCATATGATGTCACGTAAAAGAACGTAACTATGTCAAATGAGTGTCATACTCTTCCCAGACCAAACTGAGGTTGGGCTGCTATTTCTCGTGGCCCAATAATGAGATGCAGATGAACCGGGGAGAAAAAGAGTTTTTATTTCTGCAACTGGTTACAGGGAGAAGGCCTGGAAATTATCACCAGACTAACTCAAAATTACAAAGTTTTCCAGAACTTATATACCTTCTAAGCTATATGTCTATGTGTAAGTGTGCATTCTCTAAAGACATAGGTAGTTAACTTCTTTTAATCTCTAACTAAGGTCTGAGTCCTGAAGAGCTTCCTCTGGAACCTCAGTAAACTTACTTAATCTAAATGTGTTAGGTCCTGGGGAGATCACCCTTATCTTGTCTCCTACTAAATCATGAAGGTCTGGGGAGTTCCTTCAGACTCCCAATACGCTTGTTTGTGGAGTCCTGGGGAGTTTCTTCAGACCCACAATAAAACTTATTTAATCCTAAATGGGTTTTGTTAAGAATTCCTTTGTTATTTTGTCATGATTTAAGGCCCAGGAAAGGCCTAGGCAAAACTCTTGGTTGGCTTTTGTTACAGCCCAGCCTTTGCATAAGGGCACGGGTTTTTAATATTTAACTTAACCATTCAGTCAGTACTGAAACAGTTGTTATGGAGGCCTGCATTAGTGAGACCTGGCCTGCCACAATCCCCACTGTCAATTTGTGCATGATTTCTTTCAGGTTTGTATATTTATTTGTCATGAGAATTGTAGGGAGATGGGGCATCATAATCTTTCTGGCTACTTCCTGCTGAGAGTGGGGGTCATTGTTATGAGGTACCACACACATCGCTGGAGTGGGAGAGGTTGATTTGTTCCCAGTAGCACTCTCTGTTTTGGGGACTTAGAGGCAGCACCTGCTGAAACATAATAGTATGCAACAGCAACACATATAAATAGGATGCTGCTGTTTTCTTCTGAAGTTTAAGCTGTCTAGTCTTCAGTTCACAGGGATTTAAGAAAGCACAGCTTAGGTTTCAGTAATTTCAAATTAGGATAAATGTGGAAAAAGGAAAAGAAAAAGAAATGAAAACATTATTTTGGAGATTTGTAGCCAGAAAAATTAGAATTTAACCCAAACTGTAGAAAATAATAAAAGTTGAAAAACATCAGGCAAGACTAGAATTTAACAATAGGTGTACTATAGTTTTTGAAACATAATTTTCCCCTTTCCAGTTTCCCATTTTTATTAAAAGACAAATCATGGTAGGACTAGCTTGCTTTATTATACTTGGCTTCATTATTTGTATATAGTGCAGCAAGAATAATTATTTTTCACATAGGCCTTTTAAATTCACTTTGATGGAGCTTTGTTCCATGGAAGGAATCTAAGATAAGATCTTTTTAATGCTGAGCCCAGTCATGGATTTGTACCATCAAATACCTATGAGTTGGGTGGATTCCTCTCTTCTTGAGGTTCCAAGATAACTTGGGGTTTCTGGCTTGTCAGAAAGTGACATTCTTTAATTATCACAGATCAGAAACCCTGTACAGGGACTGTGTACACAAAATACAAGGCCAGTTTTCCAAGGACTTTCTTGGCTTCATAAGTCTAGTTTGATTCTTTAAAGGAGGGCATACCATTCCCATCAAAGCCTTGGCAAAATAACCAGTTTTTTCAATTGTGTCCTCTTTCAAAAGAAAACAGATCCTTATTGCACTTATGCAAATAACCATATTGCCATAAATTAAGAATACTCACAAATAACTTCCAAATTCTAGAGAAAATAGTTAGAGAGAAATAAATATGCTTCAAATTTTGTTCATAGGCATATACTTGTCAAAAGCGGTTAATAGCTCAAAAGAAAAGTCTTTGACTCTGAAAAGCAAAACAAAGGATGAGCAACATTTAAGCAAAATATCAAAATGATCACTTCAGTCTCCTATTAGTTCAGTTCATGCATTTAATTCCTGTCCTGCTTGATATTAATGAACATTTTAGCTCTTCAAGAGTCCTGAATATTTTTCCCCTATTCTGATGTCACAATCTCCAAAATTATCAGAAATCTGCATTCAAGTGCACCTGTGAGAGCTTTATAGCTGATTATAAAGCCACCTTCTAAAGAGGACCAAAACAAGACAACTGTTTATGAATGACAAAAAGTTTTAGGGTAGCCATCTTTAAAGACACAATTGACAAGAATATCTGTTACCTCTGTGGCACACAATAATTTAACATAACAATTATAATTATTACTGGTAACATACACTAAGATACATCAGAATTATAGGCGTTTCACATGATTTGGGGACACATATCAGTAACATATTACACTAATACAGCCCAAAGAAAGCCAAACACGATTTCATATTTGACAATGCTTCCTGTAAAATTTTTATACCAAGTAACCCAAATTTCACCTTCACATTAGTGTACTATTAATGTTAAACCCAATTCTTAATAAAACCTTACAGACCTATTTACCCAATTTTAATGTTTGACCATAAGTAAGATTTTCATAGACCTTTTATAACCCTTTACAATTTTTTTAAAGAGGATGTTAGTGCTCTAAGAGAAATCTGGTGTATTTTTATTTTAATGCTCAATTTACAGGAAAAAAAAATGGATGATAACCCTTTAACTTTAGCCAATATGTTTACACACAGAACTTCCTTTACAATCAACCTTCCACAACTTGCTTAAACTTCAGCTTTATTTTATCCAACTTAAAATAAACCTTTAAACTTCAGGCAAAAAATCCACATTCTCATACTTCATTATAATCTTTTTACCAAAAGTATATTTTACTTTCTTTACACACCTTGCATGTAGACTGTTTCTTCAATAGCTCTTTTTTTTTTTTTTTTTTTTTTTTTTTGAAACAGAGTTTCATTCTGTCGCCCAGACTGGAGTGTGATGATGCTATCTCAGGTTCAGGTCACTGCAACCTCAGCCTCTTGGGTTCAAGTTATGCTCCTACCTCAGCCTCCCGAGTAGTTCGGACTACAGGCACCCACCACCACGCCTGGCTAAATTTTTTTTGTATTTTTAGTAGAGACGGGGCTTCACCATGTTGGTCAGGCTGGTCTCGAACTCCAGACCTCAGGTCATCAGCCCACCTCAGCCTCTCAAAGTGCTGGGATTACAGGCCGCACCCAGCCCAGTAGTTCTTAAATACATGTTACACTGTTAACTCTTAACAACCTTTACTTTTGGTGAAAACCTTGTTAAGTTTGGCGCTTTCATTATGTACTAGATGTGGGGCCTAGGACCTTGACAGAAGTGCAGATAAGGTCTGACTTATTCTAGTGTTTAACTCCATGTGTTCCAGGTCTTACCTAGCTGTAAAGCAGGCAAGTTGTACAGCTAAGAGTCATAGTGGTATTTTATAAAGCATTTAGGAGGTCTAATTACCTTTAAATTGTGCAATATTTCTTGCATAAATCCCCTTTCATAAATTCTTTCATGACTGCACAGACAAGCTATGACATGCCTTGACTTTCTGACTTCTGACAACATGCCTCTTTTTAAACAACCAGTTATTTTACTTTAGGACAAGAAATTACCATACAAGATCCTTTCTTATATAAAATCTCTTTTCTTTAATACCTTTTTGCATAGCTAGGGGCATGGTTAATTTCATATGTCCCCAGGACTTATCTAGAATTTAACACTCCAAAATAAATTGGACAATTTTTAAGTCAAAGAAGCAGTTTATGACCTAAAGCATTAGCAAACCTAATATTTGACCTGCATAATTTAGACTAAATGTTTACATTTTTTGAAGATATTTTTATTTTACCAATAATCTTTGAAACTCTCTTTATTTTTATAACTTTCTTTTACATTGTTTTATATATAGCCTTTAAATAAGTTTTGAATTAGACAAAAGTTAGTTCCCTTTCAAAAGGACACAGTTTTTAGAAAGACTGTTTTCCTAAAATATATTTTATTGGAAAATACCCAAATAATGAAATGTCAGTTGTTTAATTTAATATAGCTTTAAATTCTAAATTATGACAAATTTATGAGTGTCCCATTACATTTATCTAATTATATATTTTAATCATTTACCTAGATTATTTATGAAAACCATGACAGTCATCATTTAAAGTTATGAAACCACCATTGTAATATTAAAACTGAGACGGTGAAAATGATCCCACCTAAATGACTCCATCTTATTTCTAACCTCCAAGCTGTTCTTGTTCATTAACTTAGTTTATAGTTTAGCTGTGAAACAAAAATGATAACAATCTTTTCCCAGAAAAACTTTCTTTATGTCTTTGGACGAGACTTCCTAAGGCCACAAGATTAGAAGTTAGGGTATTTTACTAAATAATTTAAGAAGTAGTTATCTTCATTAAACCAATATTAATATTTTATTTATTAAAAATTATACAAGCAAAGATCATTCTGTTTTGGGCTGAGTTATAGTTATAGTGCCAAATTTTGACACCTTATAGTATTTGGCAGGGATAAGTATGCAATTGCCTGATCAATAAATGCAAACAAAAATGTATACTGGTAATTTTAAGATATGTCTAATATTACTTTACCAATGATTTTAAAGCTAGCTTATTTATTAAAGATTTTACTTAAGTCACATAAAGTTGAAAAGGATTTGACTAGTTTTTCTTTTTCTGTTAAAGTATTTAAGCACTTTTATTTTTCTTTGAGCCAATTAATTAGAACTCTTTCATATATTTTCCGTAGTAAAACATGGTCTACACAAGACATAAATACATAGACGTATTAGGCATGCCAATAGAAGTACATTTTACAGATTCATAAGACTTCCTTTTTCCTATCTTAGACTTGCAAACTCTTGATAACCTGGTTTATTACTCTGGAATTTGTCAACTAAATAGCCCTAAATCTGCATATTAAAAGAAACAACTCTTAGGGGAAAAATCAAATGGCAAGATTTACATCTCAAGGTACACAGAGAAAATGTCTGGGTGGTGCTAGAGGGAGATTAAAGATGGATGCCAAATCAAACATAAAATTATAGAAATTTATCATAGGACTGTGTAAGGAGCCTAACTTTATTTTGATATTGACTACCTACCCTTTAACTGGATCTTTAAGCACTGGGCAAAGCCCACACTGAATCCTGGGTTTTCAAAAAGGGAGAATTATTATGAGGCTGGACCATGTGATACTTTTACAGTACACTTAAAAAAATTTTTTTTTCCAAACAAAGACATTTCTAAGTGTCCAAATTACACTTTTTCTTAGAAACCCCAGAGGAGCTTCTGTTGTAATAGCTATTAATGAAGAAAACAGAATTCAGTGAACTAAGAAGAAAAAAAACTTTTGCTCAAAAAAGACAAGGTGCTAGGAGAGAAATAAACAAAACAAAAACAAAAGCGTGAAGGCTTTTTAAATACAAACATGCACACATAAATACACACATCTTGGATGTTAGCTTTTAATGAAGCTGACTTTTAATCACTGATCCACTAAAAAAAATATTTTTCCTTCCCAGAGACCTCTCAACAAGGATTAACCCAATATCTCCCATTTTCAAGTTTACATGGTATCAAAAGGAATAAGACAGATACATAAACAAATGGAGACAAATTTTGGACAACACAATGGGGAGTGCACTCAGGCAACTCAAAACCAACTCAAAATCTGATTTCAACCAAAATGCAAAGCAGGTGGTATTGCTTCCCTTGGTGGTACTGGACAAATGGCTTAGCCTAGACAGGAAAACAATAGGCTCCCTACATATGCTCGATTACCTCATCCTTTGACCAAATCTGCTCCTGATCTCTGTTCTTTCCCAGTAGTGAAAGGGACGTGCAATTTTGTGCACAGAACACCCCTTGGGAGAGTCCCTGGGGAAAATCTCACTGGCAGCTGCTGGGATCCTCCTGAAGACTATCTCATTACAAGCCACTGGCCACTGAACACAGCACTGTCCCAGTCTCTTCTGGCTGCCATGCCAAATTTTGTTCCCAGACCAAACTGAGGGTTGGGCTGCTATTTCTTGTGGCCCAATAACGAGATGCAGATGAACTGGGGAGGAAGAGAGTTTTTATTTCTGCAACCGGTTACACAGAGAAGGCCTGGAAATTATCGCCAGACCAACTCAAAATTACAAAATTTTCCAGAGCTTACATACCTTCTAAGCTATACGTCTACATGTAAGTGTGCATTCATCTAGAGACATAAGTTATTAACTTCTTTTAATCAATAACTAAGGTCTTCAAATCTGAGTCCTAAAGAACTTCTGCTGGAGCCTCAGTAAATTTACTTAATCTAAATAGGTACCGGTGCTGGGGTGATCACCCTTATCTTGTCTCCTGCTAAAACACAAAGGTTTGGGGAGTTCCTTCAGACTCCCAATAAACTTGTTTGTGGAGGCCTGGGGAGTTTCTTCAGACCCACAATAAAACTTGTTTAATCCTAAACGGGTCCTGTAAAGAATTCCTTCATTATTTTGTCATGCTTTACGCCCCAGAAAAGGCCTAGGCAAAACTCTTGGTTGGCTTTTGTTACAGCCCAGCCTTTGTATAGGGGCACTGGCTTTTAATGTTTAACTTAACCACTCAGTCAGCACTGAAACAATTGTTATGGAGGCCTGCATTAGTGAGATCTGGCCTGCCACAATACCCCACCAAAAGTGACTTCAAAAATTACTACTGAAATAAAGACAAAAAGAACTGAAAGAGATCCTAAACGGCATTCAATAATATTGTTGCTAGTGGTAACGTTTCATTTGACATTTTGAAACCAGTAAATGTATATTGTGGAAATAAAGTAAATAAGAAATGTTTTCATGTCATTAGGAACAAGTTCAAAATACTGATACAAATTCAAAATTTATTTCTTTCCAAAATCATACAATTATCCAGCTCTATTTTCCCAAAAGGTTGAGAAGCAAAGACAACCCAGTAGCAATAAATATCCCTAATACTCTAAGAGTGATCTTCAAATATGCAATTCCACTAAAACACAACTTCAGGAAAATGTGTGATTCTAAGAATGAGCAAGAAATGAACAAGAAGACCATGAGAAAGTAATAAGATGGTCGAATGCAGTCATGCAAAAAGACACAGCAGAATCCCATTTTCTGATCCAACATTAAAAAAAGCTTGGAAGTCATCACCCTCATCCTCTCAGCAAGGAAAAAGCTGAACAAACTGAAAATCAACACCTTTCTTTAGATACAGCAAAGAATTAAAGTCACAGGGCAAACCACTGACCTGAAAACTGGAGAGACAAGCAGAGACTGAGAATCACAGCTTATGAAGAACGGAAGTTCAGAGGCAAAAGCCCACTACTATGGCTGCAGTGTTGAAAAGACATAAATTATTATTAAAAAATTACTGATGGCTCAACGTGGACAACTCTGACAGTTAAAAACCCTGGTGGGGATGAGTTTCAGGGGGCCTCAAATTTTTGAGAGATTTACCTCCGGCAGCCCTACCAGGTTTTGTAAAAAAACTACAGAAAAATCCCCTGTGATTTCATCTGGAGGGCAAAAAAGTCGCCATTTAAAAATAAGCCTGAGCTCTCAGTTCTGTCAACAAAGTACTGCCCTCCAAAGAAACTAATTTACCAGCGCCTAACTGATCCAGGGAAATGGAAATATTCAAATTAAACCACCTCTATTCCTTGATGTGCGTGAAGAAAAATACCTGACATCAGGCACCAGGATTTATTGTCTCACCTAGAGACAGTAAAACCAGAGAAGCACTTGTAAAAGTCATAGCCCGGGGCACAAGCTCACTGAGAGACTGAAACCTATCATTTTAATTGCATGTGAATGCATGCAAACATGTACATACTCATATTTGGCAATAAAGTTGTTCTACTGTTATCAGTTATATCAAGACACTTCATTGTAAAAATGATTCTTATTATTATTATAATATTAAGAACATATAATATTAAGATATAATATATAAAATGAAGACTAATATAATATTATAATGATATAATATAATATATAATGTGTAATATATAATATTCGAATATTATATATAGTATTTAATATTATATGTAGTATTTTATTATATATTTTATTAAATTATTATATATTTTATTAAAATATATATTTTAATATTATTGATTTTATTAAAATATATATTTTAATATTATTGATTTTATTAAAATATTATATATATAACATTTTAATGTTATATATTTTATTATATATTATATATTTTAATACATATATTTTATTATATATTATATATATTTTAATATATATATTTTATTACATATTATATATATTTCATTATATATTATATATATTTTAATATATATTTTTATTATATATAATATATATTTTAATATTATATATATTTTATTATATATTATATACAATATTTTAATATTATATATTTTATTATATAATATATAATATTTTAATATTATATACATTTTATTATATATTATATATAATATTTTATATTTTATTATATATTGTATATAATATTTTAATATTATATATAATATTTTATATTTTATTATATATTATATATAATATTTTAATATATATATTTTATTATATATTATATATAATATTTTTATATATATTTTATTATATATTATATATAATATTTTAATATATATATTTTATTATATATTATATATAATATTTTATATTTTATTATATATTATATATAATATTTTAATATTATATATATTTTATTATATATTATATATTATATATAATATTAAATGTATATAATATTTTAATATTTTATATATAATATTACATATAAAATATTTTAACATTATATATAAAATATTTTAACATTATATATAATAAATATTTTAATATTTTATAATATTATAATATTATATAATATTTTATTTTTTATATATAATATTTTAATATTATATATTTTATTATATATTATATATAATATTATATAACATTAAATGTATATAATATTTTAATATTTTATATAATATTATCTATAATATTTTAATAGTTCATATATAATATTGTATACGTAATATTTGAATATTATATATAATATTTTAATATTATATATAATATTTGAATATTATATATAATATTTGAATATTATATTCATCATCATTATATATTATATATAATATTTTAATATTATATATAATATTTTAATATTATATATAATATTTTAATATTATATATAATATTTTAATATTATATATAATATATAATGATGACGATAATCATTATAATTATAATATATAATGATGACGTTAATCATTATAATTATAATTATAATGATGATCATCATTATAATTATAATATATAATGATGATCATCATTATAATATATAATGATGACGATAATCATAATTATAATATATAATGATGACGATAATCATAATTATAATATATAATGACGATAATCATTATAATTATAATATATAATGACGATAATCATTATAATTATAATATATAATGACGACGATAATCATAATTATAATGATGACGATAATCATTATAATTATAATAATAATGATGACGATAATCATTATAATTATAATAATAATGATGATGATAATCATTATAATTATAATATATGATTATGATAATCATTATAATTATAATATATAATGATTAAATCATTATAATTATAATATATAATGATGATGATAATCATTATAATTATAATATATAATGATTATGATAATCATTATAATTATATAATGATTATGATAATCATTATAATTATAATATATAATGATTATGATAATCATTATAATTATAATATATAATGATTATGATAATCATTATAATTATAATATATAATGATTATGATAATCATTATAATTATAATTATAATGATTATGATATTATATTTTATTTCTGCATTATATAAAATATATATTACATACTATATAATATATGATATATTAGAATATATAAAATATTGTATATAAGAATATTAAATCTTATATATAAAATATTGTATATAATATATAATAAGATATATATTATATATAAGATATATATGTTATATATAAATATAAATATACGTATAATATATAAATATAATACAATATAAATATAATGTATATTTATATATAATTATTTATTTATAATATAAATTTATTATAATATAATGTAAAATATATACAATTAAGACTAATATAATTATGTATTATAATAATATATTATATATAATTATATATTATATTATATATTATATTATATAATAATTATAATATTTTATATATAATTATATATTATATTATATAATATATAATAATATTGTTATAATATTAAATATTTCTACATCTTCAGTGACATGGCAGTTAAAGGTAGTGCCACGAGGTTAGGTTTTAGAGTAGGAAAAGTCTGCATTTCAGGCCTGGCTATGTGTTGAAATATTGGTTAAATATTTAATAGCATAGCATGTTTAGAAGTCAGTTTTCTTATTTCTAATGAGGATTCAATGCTGTCTTAATAGTTTTTTTTATTATTAGATTCCTCTGGCTGCTGTAAAAAATTGCCATAAACTTAGTGACTTAAAGCAACACAAATATACTATATTACAGTTCTGAAGGTCACGAGTCTGAAATGAGTTTCAGTCAGCTAAAATCCAAGGTATCAGCAGAGCTGCCTTCTTTCTGGAGGCTCCAGGGAGAACACATTCCCTACCTTTCTAGTTCTAAAGGCTGCCTGCATCCCTCAGCCCACATCCCTTGGCTCTTGGCTCCTTCCTCCATCTCAACATAAGCAATGGCTTGGCCAAGACTTTCTTGAGCTGAATCACTCTGACAGCCACTCTCCTGCCTCCCTCTTTCACTCTCACTCTTGCGATTACATTGAGACCACCCGAATAATCCAGCACAATCTCCCTATTGCAAGATCTTTAACTTAAAAATATCTGCAAATTCCCTTGTGCCATGTCATCTAACATACTCAAACATTTCAGGAATTAGGATTTGGATGTTTCTCTGGCTCATCATTCTGCCTACTGCAGTATTATGGAACAGCTTTTAAGAGAACATATGCACAAAATGTTTTAAATAGGCCAGTCATGATGACTCGTGCCTTAATCCCAGCACTTTAGAGGCCAAGGCAGGAGGATCGCTTGAGTCTAGGAGTTTGAGAACAGCCTGGGCAACATGGCAAGACCGTGTCTCTACAAAAATTAGCCAGGTGTGGTGACACATGCCTCTAGTCCCAGCTACTTGGGAGGCTGAGGTGGGAGGATTATGTGAGCCCAGGATTTTGATGCTGCAGTGAGCCATGATCACAACATTGCACTCCAGCTTGGGTGATAGAATAAGATCCTATCTCAAAAAAAAAAAAAGTTTAAAAATAATGCTATGTTAAAATGATTCCATTCCTCTTTCACACACTCTCTGTCTCCTCTCTCTCTCTCTCTCTCTCTCTCTCTCTCTCTCTCTCTCTCTCTCTCTCTCTCTCTCTCTCCCTCCCTCCCTCCTTTCTCTTCCTATTATGGCATTAGGTATTTTTAAATAGGTTTTTTGAAACTTTGGTCTGATTTTTATTTGTGGCACTTTTCTTTTCTCTCATTACTTTCTACCCTCTATCTTTCAACATTTATTTTATCATCCCTGAGACTTACGAAAAGTAATCCTGTTTGACAGTTTCTGCTTGCTATTCCCTTGTGATTGAACTATTTATATCTCCTTGCTATATTCACACATTATTCGCCTGCTCTCTATTCAGGCTTTTCTCTGTCACCTTTTTCGCCCGCTCTCTATTCAGGCTTTTCTCTGTCACCTTTTACGATGCATCATTTATGAACCATTTTCTTGAATGTTTTGACTATTATGTTACTTCTAGATGAGGAGTTTTTCTCTTGAGATACTAAATACACTGACAGTTCATGCTTGTGCAAAGCTCAGGATACCTTCTGGTTGCTCTGTTTTAGCACAATTCTGTTTAAAGGGAAATGTTTTATGGTAGGTTTGCATATTCTAAAGTTTCCTCGCATGTTTGAAGAACTGTTAATGGAGAAAGAATTTCATCAACCTTATATTTGAGTAGCACAGCAAAGTAGAACTTTATCAAATATCTAGTGAGCAAGATCAATGCAGACATCTAATATAAATAACACAGTACACAAAATGACATTAATGTTAAATTGAATTTTAGAAGTGCATGCAAAATGCAGTAAAATAAAGTGTAAATGGGAAATTGCTTAAGGTGTTTGGTCAATGTAGAATGCAAGAGTGGGTTGTTTGAAATAAGAAACAAGTGTTTTTGAAGCAAGAATGTCCTGATGAATATAATTTATCATTCCATTTACTACATAATATACTTTGAAACAATTTAATATTGCTTTCAAGAATGAAAATGGAGAGGGTCCTGTGCACCTTATTGGTGGTGTCCCCTCTTATTAATTGTTAACTGTTAGTAGCTACGATTTGGGTATGCTGGAACTAAATATATTCTAGAGCTATGCACTACTCACTAAAAATGTTTAAAATTATCAGTGATGTAATACTGTGTTGCAAAGTAAACAAAATCTGTATCCAAACAGTGCCAATAATTTATAATAAAACAAAAAATCCAACAATTATTCCAAATGTGGTTGAATTTGCATTTTAAAATATCCAGTTAATATACTGTTTTTTCTATGTTTATCTCAATATTTATCATTGTATAAGCACATTTTCCAGAAAATTGCTTTTGTCACTCTGCAATTGTCATTTAATGCCTAGACAATATTCCACCTGGATAAAATACTATACTAACTTATGATGATGCATTTTTTTTCTCGGTAAAGACAGAGATCATTCATTCTGCATAACAGTGGAGATATATTGCTAGTCAAAATTATATTTATGCTTTGTATAACATTATAAATAAATAAAATTATAATAAAAATTATCTTGTTTGACAGGAACACATGACAAGAACCCAACAACATCCCCGTCATTCATGTGTGAGACCGTGATTTAAATTGCTATGCCATGGACCAAAAATGGTTGTGTAGTGTGTTAAAGTTCGGGTATTATACATGAAATTTGATTCTCCTTGATTGACATTCATTTCACTTGGACCAAGTGAAGCTAGCCAAGACTAGGCCATCCAAAATATATTTACATTAGCAATTGATGGCTCTAATATCTATGCCACTGTGAAATATAAAGAAATAGAAATTTCAAATATAAGTCTTGACTTAGGTTAACAAAACCTATTAAACTTTAGGTCATACAGTTTATCAAATTATGAGACAATAACAACTTATGAGGTGCTGAGGTCTGATAGGAGAAGTTAGAAAATATGGAGAAAATCAGGGTACATTGAAGTCAGAAGAAAGGAGGCACAAAATGAACTGACTTCCTTACCTGGGGTGAAGCTTTTAGACAGAATGGATACACAAGAACACCAGGATGTTATTTTGCTTGATTTCTCGACCAGATAGGAGACATCTGGTAAGGGTTTTGGCAATATGAGGAGAAATTAAAGGAGAAAATGTCAACCATGCCCCATCTCTGAACATAGATTATGTGGTAGTGATCTCAACCCCATCTCGGTTCAACGCTGTAACACTTCTAAATAGGTGGTAGGCTGTGGCTCTACAGAGAGAGATGATGGGGCTGGTGGCCACAAGACAAAGAAATCAAGTAGCAAATGTACAAAAAATGGCTCTTAATGAAATGCAATAAAAAATTACCTTGACCTTGAAGAGACAAGGGCTTGGGCTGACAAACTTCATTTTTTTATTTTTTATTTTTTTAGACGGAGTCTGACTCACTCTGTGCCCAGGCTAGAATGCAGTGGCGCGATCTCGGCTCACTGCAACTTCTGCCATCCCGGGTTCAAGCGATTCTCCTGCCACAACCTCCAGAGTAGCTGGGATTACAGGCTCCTGCCACCACATCTGGCTAATTTTTGTATTTTTAGTGGAGATGGGGTTTCACCATGTTGGCCAGGCTGGTCTCAAAATCCTGACCTCAAGTTATCCATCCACTTTGGCCTCCCAAAGTGCTGGGATTATAGGTGTGAGCTCTGCGCCTGGCCCAACCTTTCTAATAAATCTTTTTGTGAGCCTGGTCATGGCATAATACAGGTTTTTTGTTATCTAGAGTCATGACTGCACTATTGGCTAGAATGATCTGGAAAATTATCTACTGCAATTGCAAAGGTAGTAAGAACCTATTCAACATACACTATGTCTTTTGCATTGTTCAAAGACTTCATATACTTTGTCTAATTTAACACAACAATCAAGCCAGAAGAATACTCTTTTTAAATATAAAGATGAGAAAACTGAGAAGTGGAGAGGTCAACCCTCTAACCAGGCTCACTGTTTGATTGCTAAGCAGGTGTATAAACCAGATGTCTGGTTTTATCACATTTCTATTGAACATACAGATTTTTAAAAGTATTTAGATTAAATTGAGAACAAATATACAGCAACACTTCTTCAAAAGTCCTCTAGCCTTTGAGAATAGATATAACTGATAAATAAATATGTAATAATTATTAGTTTCAATATAAACCATATGAAAGTAAGAGACATTTACATCTGTAATCAACATCAATGTTTTCTGTAGCTTGTATGAATTGAAAAGGATATAATGTGTTCAGTCTGTTTTGTCTGACCATTTTCAAGTCTTGATGAAGACAGATAGTGAATTATTTGAATTGCTAATTACCACATACAATGTAACATAACACTTTAGAATGTTGAGAATTCATGTTGAGAATTATTACAGTAGTTTCTTCTTTTAATTTAATACTTACTGAAAAATGTAAAATTTGACTATTAAGCCACTTCATGTTTTATGTAAGAATTTCTTTCTTCTAAAAATTTAGTTAATTTAATTGAATTAATTTAATTAAAGCAACAGTCTGAAGACATCCAAATAAATGTATTGACTTAAAAAGAGCTTTAAAAATTAAGGAACTATTGATATAAAGTTGATTTATTGGTTAATTTCTAGAAATTAAATATTGAAGTTAATGAACTATAAAGCAGTATTAGAGTTCTCTTGGTCATCACAAATAAATTTTTCTGGTATCTATTAAAGATTAGGAAGAAAATTATTATACAACTCTTTCTAATCCTTTTTAATAAACCAAGTATTGGTTTTTTTTTCTAATGCACTTAATTTGTATGTTTAAGAAAACTACTTATATAGATGCTGAAGTGCATTGAAAAAATCAATACACTACTAAGGTTGGTATTTTTTTTAGCATTTTCTTTAGTTGATTATTTATAATGTGCCAGAAGCACCAATGGAATTCTTAACTTTTTGTCAGGTCTCTATTTTCTCCAGTTATCTACGTTTCAATTACAGCTAATTTTTATCCAAATTAAATAATACTTCTGGAAATTTTATAATAAGAAATTTCATAAAATGATTCTAAACCAAATTGTGGAATTCAGGGAGTTTATTCTGGTCAGTCTAGAATGGAGTAGGGCTTGCGAAAAAATAACTCCATTTAATGTGTATTTATATTTAAATCTACAAGCATAACATCCCACATGCTATGATCATATAAAAGTAAGAGACATTTATATTAAACTAAAATTTTATTTTAATATTATATTTTGTAACATTTTAATATTCAGTTGTGTTATATTTTGTCAAATTTAAAAATCTATGTTAAAGAATTCAAATACAGTACTTAATAGTTTTATAACTAATAGTAAAATGCAAAAACAAGAAAGAAACCAGTTTTTATATTTGAACAAATACAAATACATACAATTCCAATATTTAAACTAAGAGATATATCATTAAAATAATAGCAGAAATATAGAAGTAGATATAACAGTCCATCAAATTGCACAGCTCCTAAAAGTGATATTATTCTTATATTTTTTATAGTTATAAGGACAAATTTACAGTCAAAAAATTATGTGAAAAAAATAAAATTGAAATTCTTAAATCAATCAGTTCAATAAAATGCTAAATAAAATAATATTTTGAGCAATATAAATATCCCTAATCATCAATTGTATTTTTTTTCCTTAAACTTTTAAGTTCAGGGGTACATGTGCAAGATGTGATTTGTTATATAGGTAAACATGTGCCATGGTGGTTTGCTGCACAGATCATGCCATCACCTAAGTATTAAGCTCAGAATTCATTAGCTATTCTTCCTGATGCTCTCTCTTCCCCCACCCCTAAAAGGCTCCAGTGTTTCCCGCCATATGTCCATGTGTTCTCATCACGCAGCTCATACTTACAACATGCAGCATTTGGTTTTCTCTTTCTGCATTAGTTTGCTGAGAAGAACGGCTTCCAACTCCATCCATGTCTCTGCAAAGAACATGATCTTGTTCTTTTCTATGGCTGCATAGTGTTCCATGGTGTATAAGTACCACATTTTCTTTATACAGTCTGTCATTAATGGGCGTTTAGGTTGATTCTATGTCTTTGCTATTGTGAATAGTGCTGCAAAGAACATACACATGATGTATCTTTATAATAAAATGATTTCTCTTTCTTTGGATATATACCCAGTAATGGGATTGCTGGGTCAAATGGTATTTCTGCCTCTAGGCCTTTGAGGAATCATCACACTGTCTTCCAGAATGTTTGAACTAATTTACACTCCCAACAGTGTGAAAGAGTTCCTTTTTCTCCACAACGTCATCAGCATCTGTTTTTTTTTTTTGACTTTTTAATAATTGGCATTCTGACTGATGTAAGATGGTATATCATTGTGGTTGTGATTTACATTTTTCTAATGATCAGTAATGTTGAGCATTTTTTCATGTTTGTTGGCTGCATAAATGTCTTCTGAGAAGTAGTCTGTTCATGTCCTTTGCCCACTGTTTAATAGGGTTAAGTTAATTTGTTTAATTTGTTTAAGTTCTATGTAGACTGGATATTAGACCTTTGTCAGATGGATAGATTGCAAAAATTTTTATCTCATTCTGTAGTTTGTCAATTAACTCTGATGATAATTTCTTTTGCCGGGAAGTTCTTTAGTTTAATTAGATCCCATTTGTCAATATTTGCTTTTGTTACAATTGCTTTTGACGTTTTCATCATGAAATCTTTGCCCATGCCTGTGTCCTGAATGGTATTGCCAAGATTTTCTCCTAGGGTTTTTAGAGTTTGGGGTTTTACATTTAAGTCTTTAATCCATCTTGAGTTAATTTTTGTATATTGTGTAAGGAAGAGGTCCAATTTCCATTTTCTACATATGGCTAGCCAGTACTCCCGGCACCATTTACTAAATAGGGAGTCCTTTCTCCATTGCTTGTTTTTGTCAAGTTCACTGAAGATCAAATGGTTGTAAGTGTGTGGTCTTATTTCTGAATTCTCTATTCTGTTCCATTGGTCTAGATGTCTGTTGTTGTACCAGTACCATGCTGTTTTGTTTACTGTAGCCTCACAGTACAGATTGAAGCCAGGTAGTGTGATGCTTCCAGCTTTGTTCTTTTTGTTTAGAATTGCCTTGGCTATTTGGGCTCTTTTTTGGTTCCAGGTGAATTTTTAAATAGTTTTTCTAATTCTGTGAAGAATTTAAACGGTGGTTTAATAGGAATAGCATTGAATTTATAAATTACTTTGGGCAGTATGACCATTTTCATGATATTGATTCTTCCTATCCATGAACATGGAATGTTTTTCCATTTCTTTGTGTCATCTCTGATTTCTTTGAGCAGTGGCTTATAATTCTCTTTGAAGAGGTTCTTCACTTCCCTCATTAGCTGTATTCCTAGGTATTTTATTTCTTTTGTAGCAATTGTTAATAAGAGTTCATTCATAGTTTGGCTCTCTGCTTGCCCATTGTTGGTGCATAGAAATGCTAGGGACTTTTGCACATTAATTTCATATCCTGAGATTTTGCTAAAGTTGCTTATCAGCTTAAGAAGCTTTTGTGCTGAAATGATTGAGTTTTCTAGAATAAAATCATGTCATGTGCAAACAGTGACAATTTGACTTTCTCTCCTCCTGTTTGAATACCTTTTATTTCTTTCTCTTGCCTGATTGCTCTGGCCAGAACTTGCAATACTAAGGTGAATAGGAGTGGTGAGAGAGGGCAGCCTTGTCTTGGGCTGCTTTTCAAGGGGAATGCTTCTAGCTTTTGCCCACTCAGTATGATATTGGCTGTGGGTTTATCATATATGGCTCTTAATATTTTGAGGTATGTTCCTTCAGCACCTAGCTTATTGAAAGTTTTTAACGTAAAGGGATTTTAAATTTTATTGAAGGCCTTTTCTGCACCTGTTAAGATAATCATGTGGTTTTTGTCTTTAGTTCTGTTTATGTGATGAATCACATTTATTGATTTGTGTATGCTGAACCAAGAAGCTTGCATCCCAGGGGTGAAGCCAACTTGATCATGGTGGATAAGCTTTTTGATGTGCTGCTAGACTCAGTTTGTCAGTATCTTATTGAGGATTTTTGCATCAGTGTTCATCAAGGACAATAGACTAAAATTTTCTTTTATTGTATCTCTGCTAGGTTTTGGTATCAGGATGATGCTGCCCTCATAGAATCACTTAGGGAGGAGTCCCTCCTTTTCAATTTTTTGGAATAGTTTCAGTAGAAATGGTACCAGCCCTTCTTAGTACCTCTAATAGAATTCATCTATGAATCTATCTAGTCCTGGGCTTTTTTTGGTTGGTAGGCTATTTATTACTGCCTTAATTTCAGAACTCATTATTGGTGTATTCAGGGATTCAATTTCTTCCTGGTTCAGTCTTGGAAGGGTGTATGTGTCCAGAAATATAACCATTTCTTCTAGATTTTCTAGTTTATGTACATAGAGGTGTTTATGGTATTCTCTGATGGTTGTTTGTATTACTGTGGGGTCAGTGATAACATCCCCTTTATCATTTCTGATTGTATTTATTTTATTCTTCTGTCTTTTCTTCTTTATTAGTCTAGCTAGCAGTCTATTTTATTAACTTTTTCAAAAGACTAGCTTCTCAATTTGTTGGTTTTTTTGAAGTATTTTTTATGTCTCTATCTCCTTCATTTCAGCTCTGATCTTGGTTATTTCTTGTCTTCTGCTAGATTGGGGGTTTGTTTGCTCTTAGTTATCTAGTTCTTTTAGTTGAGACGTTAGGTCATTAACTTGAGATTTTTCTAGTGTTTTGATGTGGGCATTCAGTGTTATAACTTTCCCTCTTAACACTGCTTTAGCTGCATCTCAGAGATTCTAGTACGTTGTCTCTTTGTTCTCATTAGTTTCAAATAAGTTCTTGATTTCTGCCTTAATTTCATGATTTACCCAAGAGTCATTCAGGAGCAAGTTGTTCAATTTCCATGTAGCTGTGTGGTTTGAGTGAATTTCTTAGTCTTGATTTCTAATTTGATTGCACTCTGGTCTGGGAGACTGTTTATGATTATTTTAGTTCTTTTGCATTTACCGAGGAGTGTTTTACTTCTGATTATGTGATCAATTTTAGAGTAAGTGCCATGTGGTGATGAGAAGAATATATATCCTATTGAATTTGTGTGGAGAGTCCTGTAGATATCTATCAGGTCCACTTGATTCAGAGCTGAGTTCAGGTCCTGTATATCTTTGTTAATTTTCTGTCTTAATAATTTGTCTAATACTGTCAGTGGGGTGTTAAAGCCTCCCACTATTATTATGTGGGAGTCTAAGTCTCTTTGTAGGTCTCTAAGAACTTGCTTTATGAATCTGGGTGCTCCTGTATTGGGTGCATACATATTTAAGATAGTTAGCTCTTCTTATTAAATTGAACCCTTTACCATTATGTAATGCCCTTCTTTGTCTTTTTTGATCATTGTTAGGTTAAAGTCTGTTGTGTCAGAAACTAGGATTGCAAGCCTTGCTTTGTTGTGTTTTCCATTTGCTTGGTAAATTTCCCTCCAACCCTTTATTTCGAGCCTATATGTGTCTTTGCATGTGAGATGGGCCTTTTGAAGACAGCATACCTATGGATTTTGGCTCTTTATCCAGTTTGCCATTCCATGCCTTTTAATTGGGGCATTTAGCTCACTTAAATTTAAGGTTAGTATTGTTATGTATGAATTTGATCCTGCAATCATGATGCTAACTGGTTATTTTGCAGACTTGTTTATGTGGTTGTTTCATAGTGTTACTTGTCTGTGTATTTTGGTGTGTTTTTGTAGTGGCTGGTAATGTTTTTTCCCTTTCCATATTTAGTGCTTCCTTCAGGAGCTCTTGCAAGGCAGGCCTGTTGGTAATGAATTCTCTAAGCATTTACTTGTCTGAAAAGGATCTTATTTCTCCTTCACTTATGAAGCTTAGTTTGGCCAGATATGAAATTCTGGGTGGGAAATTCTTTTCTTTAAGAATGTTGAATATTGGCCCTCAATTTCTTCTGGGTTGTAGGGTTTCCACTGAGAGGTCTGCTGTTAGTCTGATGGGTTTCTCTTTGTAGGTGACCAGGTCTTTCTTTCTGGCTGACTTTAACATCTTTTTTTTTCATTTCAACCTTGAAGAATCTGATAATTATATACCTTGTGGTTGATTTTCTTCTGGAGTATTTTATTGGGGTTCTCTGCATTTCATGAATTTGAATGTTGGCTCATCTTCCTAAGTTGGGAGAGTTCTCCTGGATGATATCCTGGAGTATATTTCCCAACTTGGTTCTGTTCTCCCAATCTCTTTCAGATACCCCAATCAGTGATAGGTTTGGTCTCTTTACATAATCCCATATTTCTCAGAGGTTTTGTTCAATCCATTTCATTTTTTCTTTATTCTTGTTTGCTTGTCTTATTTCAGAAAGAGAGTCTTCACACTTGGAGATTCTTTCCTCCGCTTGGTCTACTCTTCTACTGATACTTGTGATTGCACTGTGAGGTCCTCATATTGCATTTTTCAGCTCCATCAGGTCAATTATGTCCCTCTCTATACTAGCTATTCTGCCTATCAGCTCCTGTATTGTTTTATCTTGATTCTTAGCTTCTTTGCATCAGGTTACAACATGCTCCTCTAGCTCAGCAAAGTTCATTACTACCTACCTTCTGAAGCTTATGTCTATCAGTTCAGCCATCTCAGCCTTAGCCTAGTTCTGTGCTTTTGGAGGAGAAGAGGCACACTGGCTTTTTGAGTTTTCAGTGTTTTTGTATCAATTTTTTCTAAACTTTGTGGGCTTATCTACCAGCAACTGTATTTGTAATTTCTCATTATTAACTCCTATAACAGAATCGATATAGAAATGGAAGAGGTAAAGATTGAAAATACACTACTGGCTTAACCCAATGTACTCTCATCTGTTTGCAAAAATTAAGTGGGTAGCTATAATTACGGGGTGAAAAGATGTTTTGGTTATACAGATAAAAGAGAAAGTTATTCGTATTAATACTCAGCCCTGGTTCATGCTCTTGTCCTTGTGACATCTGTGTTCTGTAAGGAAAAAGACCACCCTGTGGCCAAAAGGAAGAATATGACATCTTTTTACAATATCCTTGAAAACTTCCAGTCTATTCTTAAGGGACAATGTGTTTGAAGAGTTTCAGATTGGTAATGAGGAAACACAGATGATAGTGATTATGATAATGATCATAATAACATTCCATAAACTTATCTATCTTGTAAAGTAGAGAATATTTAACAACTTTAAAGTATTCATACTAGTGTATGATTGCAAGACTGGTACGTCTCCATTTAACCCATGAATCACAGATAGACTCAATAAGGTTAAATAACGTATCTAAAGATGCAATATCAGGAGGTGTCAAGACCTGGTAACATTCAATCATCATATGCCAATCTCAAGATAAATTTCATTATCTCATAGTTGACTTTAGTACTAATTCTTCATTTACCACTAAGGAGTGTTCTGATCAACAGTTGGCCAGCAAGCTTGTGGAAGCCATGGGCATTGGAACATATAGTACATATATTTAACTTGATAATAAATTACCAAACTATTTTCCATGGTGTGTGTACCATTTTGTTTTCCTACAATCACTGAACAAAAATATTTTCAATTGCTCAGTATAGTCACTAATGCTTGGTATTGTTATTGCTTTTTACAACTGTAACCATTTTAGTAGGTTTATAGTGGTATCTCATTGAGGTTTAATTTACATTTCCCCGATGAATAATAATGTTGGATATCTTTTAATATGCCAAATTTTCATTTGTATATTTTGGGGGGAAGTGTTTGTTTAGATCTTCTGCCATTTTCAAAATTGCTCAATTTACCTATTGTTTATCTATTTACCTATTGTTGAGTGTCAGAAGTTCTTTATATATTCTGGACACAATTATTTGAGGTCAGTAATTTGATTTGCAAACTTTTCTGTCAATCTGAATCTTGTCTTTTTAAGTTCTTAACAAGGTTTTCAGCACAGAACATTTTTTAAAGTTTTCATAAAGGCCAATTTTACATTTTTTCCTTCATGGGTTGTTACTTTAGTATAGTATCTAAAAACTCTTTGTAAGATTGATACCAGAAACATTGTGAAATAGGACTTTCCAGGGCTTGTCCCGCTACAGAAATGTCAATTTGAATAACTGTACATGCACAGAAATAGCTTCATAAGAGCTAAGAAATCCAGGTAAGAGATTACAGCACCTAGGTATAGCACAGAAAAGACACATTGAAGAGGGCAGTGCAAATAGAGATAATATCCATGTGGTCAAAAGCAAGTAAAGTGAGAACCCAGCTTTGCTGTAGATGCAAGCCCCAGTAACATCTGACCCCAGATCAAACACCAACGCTCCAGGTTCCAGAATGGCCTCCACAGCCTCAGGTTCTAGACATGCCTGGGGCTCGAAACAGGCCCCTGTGCTAGGTTAGTACTCCACAGATCTAGCCTCCAGGCTTGCCACAGCACCAGGCTCATTGCCGCAGCCCCAGGATCCAGGTCTGCACCACCACACAGTGAGCCACAGTTTGCAGGACAGCATCCACAGACTCAGCCTCCAGGCCCACCCCAGACCCAGGTCAGCACCCATAGACCAGGCTGCCTTTTGTGGTCCCAGACACCAAGCAGGCATCTGCTGCTCCATCCTCCAGGAAAGCCAGGGTCCAGGCCCACTCCAGCAGACCCAGGGTTCAATGCCAACTCAGTAGACCATGGTACTGGACCAGCCTCCAAGGATGCAGGCTTCAAGATTACTCCTATGGATACAGGCTCCAGGCATGTTCCCATTACCGAAGAACCAGGTCAATCTCTACAGACCCAGCCTCCAGGTCAACCCCAGCATGGTCAGACTATTCCTGACCAAGGCCCCAGATCTCAGACTATTCCTCAGGGGACTGTCTTAGGCCAACACCTAAAGACCAAACATTCAAGTCAATTCTGCAAACCCAAGCTGCAGGCCAACCTTGTGGCCCCAGATGCCAGCACCATGGACTCTAAATTCTGCCTGGCCCCTCTGGAACCAGGAACCAGAGTAACCCCTCTGGACCCAGCCTGGCCTAGGCACTAAACCAGGCTACACAAAGTTTTCCAGAAACAAGTCAGCTGACACAGCTCACCAGATTACCTGCCCGTAATCTCTGGATAAACTAACTGGTAGAGGGCTTTCACTGCAGAAGCTAGTCTGTAAAAACTGAAATAGATGTCTCCTTCAAATGCATAGACACCAATACATAGTCATAAGTTACACAAATAGTTGGGAAACATGACACCACTAACAGGGAGCACCAGTAACAGACCATAAAGAAATGGAAGCACCAGTGACAGATCCTAAAGAAATGAAAGTCTATGAATTGCCTAAAAAGAATTTTAAAAGCTTATTTTAAAGAATCTCAGTGAGTTATAACAAAACAGAGATAGACAATAAAAGATATCATAAAAACAATATACAAACAAAATTAGAAGTTCAACCAAGAGATGTAAATCATAAAAAGAACCAAACCAAAATTCTGGAGCTAAAAACCACAATGACTGATCTAAAAAGTTCCATGGAGAACTTTGATAGCAGACTTAATCAAACAGAAGAAAAAAATCAGTGGGCTCAAACAAAGGTCATTTGAGATTACCCAGTCAGAGGAACATAAAGAAAAAATAATGAAAACAGGTAAAGAAAGGGTACAAGACTTATGTATGGGACACCATCAAGGGGGCAAACATATGCATTACAGGAGTCCTGGTGGAACTAAAAAAGAGAAAAGGGAAGAAAGTTTATTTAAAGAAATAATGACAAAAAACTTCCCAAATCTGGAGAGGGAAATGAACATCAAAATCCATAAAGTTCAAAGAATCCCAAATAAAGATAAAGACATGGATGTCCAATCTTTTGACTTCCCTGGGCCACATTGGAAGAAGAATTGTCTTGAGCCATACATAAAATGCACTAACACTAACAATAGCTGATGAGCTAAAAAAAAAAAAAATCACAAAAAAGCTCATAATGTTTATAAAAAGCTTACAAATTTGTATTGGACCACATTCAAAGCCATCCCGGGTCATATGTAATTCAAGGGCCATGGGTTAGACAATCTTGGTTAAAGAGATCTGAGACATTTTATAATCAAATTCTTAAGTCAAAGACAAAGAGAGAATTTTGAAACTTATAAGAGAAAAGAAACTAATTAATTCAAGCAAACCTTTATAAGGCTATCAACAGATTTATCAGCAGAAATGTATAGGCCAGGAGACAACAGAAAGTGGAATGACATACTCAAAGTGCTAAAAGAACAAAAAGCAAACTTACCAAACAACAATACTACAGTCAGCAAAGATGTTCTTCACAAATGGAGAAATAAGGACTTACCCAGACAAAACTGTGGGAGTTCATCACCAGTGAACCTGCCTAATGAGAAAAGGTAAAGAGAGTATAGGAATGTGAAAAGCTTAATGTAAAGGTAAGAATGTAGTCAAATTTAGAATTCTCTAATACTGTAATGGTGTTTCATAAATCACTTGTAACTCTAGAATGATAATTGAAAGACAAAAGTATTAAAAATGAATATAGCTATAATAATTTGTTAATGGATACACAATATATAAAGAGTGTAAATTATGAAACTGATACCATAATATGTTGGGAAGAAAAGTCGATGTTTAGCGTTTTCATTGTGATGAAGTTAAGTTGTTATCAGATTCAAATAAACTCATAACTATAAGATGCTTTATGTAAGCCTGATGATAATCACAAAAACATCCCAAAACCTATAGTAGATATACAAAAATAACTAGCACTACAAAAAAAATCAAATCATAAAGGGAAAAAGCAAATGAGAAAGAAAGGAACAAAGGAACTATAAAATAGTAAGAAAACTATTAAAATGGCAGTAGTAAGTCCTTAAATAATAAAGTAATCATTTGAAATAATTATTTTAAATGTAAATGAATTAAATTATTCAATCAAAAGACATAGATAACTGAATGAATAAAAACACAAGATCCAACTATATGCTGCCTACATAATAGTCACTTAGCTTTAAGGACACATATAGGCTGAAACTGAAGTGATGGGAAAAATATGCAAATGAAAGGAAAATGATGGCAGGTGTAGCTATACTTAAATATTTTCTATTGTTTTACTAATCCCTATTTTATTCATTTTGGCTCCAATCTTTATCAGTTCCTTCCTTTTTCTGACTTAGTTTCTACTTCCTTGAGGTGTACAGTTAGATTGTTTATTTGAGATTTTTCTTTTTTTCTTAATGTAGGCATTTATGGTTATAAGTCAAAGCTGTAAAAAGAGACAAAGAAAATTATTATACAATAATAAAGTGATCAATTCATCAAGTGTATATAGCAATTGTAAATATATATGCACCCAACATCAGAGTGCCTAAATATATAAAGTTCATATTAACAGAACTGAAGGGAGAAATAGCAATGCAATAACACTAGGGAAATACAATGCCCTACTTTCAACAACAAATAAATTATTCAGATAGATAGTCAATAAGGAAACTTTGAATTTGAACTACACTTTACACCAAGTAAGTCTAATAGACATATACAGAACATTCTACCCAGAAACAGAAGAATACACATTCTTTTCAACTCACATTGAACATTCTCCAGGATAGAATATACATTAGGCCACAAAGCAAATCTTAGAAATTTAAGAAGATTTAAATAATATCGAGTATCTTTTCTGACCACAATAGTATTAAATTAGAACTTAATGACAACAGAAAAACTGAAAAATGCACAAATAGGTGGAAATAAAACAGACACCTGAAAAACAAATGACTGAAAGAAGAAATCAAAAGGAAAATCAATCAAAAATATCTTCACACAAATGAATATGTAGATACAACATACCAAAGATTATGAAATATAGCAAAGCAGTTCTAAAAGGTAAATATAAAGCAATACACACCTACATTAAGAAGAAAAAAAGATCTCAAAGAAACAACTAAACTTTACACTTCAAGAAAACAGAAATGAAGAACAGCCTAAGCCCAAAATCAGAAAAAGAAAAAAAAATAAAGATTAGAGCAGAAATAAATAAAAGAGAAACTAGTAAAATAATAGAAAAGACCAATTAAACTAAGAGGTGTTTCTTTGAAAAGATAAATAAAATAGACAAATCTTTAGCTAGACTTACAAAAAAAAAATCCCAGAGAAGATCCAAATAAGTAAAATGAAAGAGGAGACATTACAACTGATATCACAGAAGGACAGAGGATTATAAGAAACTATTATGAACAATTATACACCCAAAAATTTGATAACCTAGAAGAAATGGATAAATTCATAGATGCATACAACTCACAAAAACTAAATTCTGAAGAAAGAGAGAATGTGAACAGATCGATAATAAGTAGGGACATTGAATCAGTAATCAATAATCTCCCAACAAAGAAAAGCTCAGGACATGATGGCCTACTGGTGAATCCTACCAAACACTTGAATAAATGCCAATTCTTCTCAAACTCTTCCAAAATATTGAAGACAAAGGAACACTTCCAAACTCATTTTACATGACCATAATTACCCCAATACCAAAGCCAGACAAGGATACTACAAGAAAAGAAAATTTCAGGCCAATATCCCAGATAAAGATACATGCAAGAATTCTCAACAAAATACTAGCAAACTGAATTCAACAGTGCAGTAAAGGATCATACACGATGTTTCTATCTGGGATGCAAGAATGATTCAACATACACAAATCAATAAATGTGGTACATCATATTAACAAAATAAAGGATAAAGATCCTATTACCATCTCAATAGATTCAGAAAAGCCATCACAAAATTCAAGTATCTTCTATGGTAAAAACTCCCAACAAATTAAGTATATAAGGTATTTACCTCATTGTAACAGAGGCCATATGTGACAAACCCAGAACTAGTATACTCAATGGTGGGAAGCTGAAAGTTTTTTCTGTAAATCTGGAGCAAGACAGCTGGGCGCAGTGGCTCACGCCTGTAATCCCAGAACTTTGGGAGGCTGAGGAGGGCGGATCACAAGGTCAGGAGATCGAGACCACCTTGGTTAACACGGTGAAACCCTGTCTCTACTACAAATACAAAAAATTAGCCAGGCGCGGTGGCATGCACCTGTAGTCCCAGCTACTTGGGAGGCTGAGGCTGGAGAATGACTTGAACCTGGGAGGCGGAGGTTGCAGTGAGCTGAGATTGTGCCACTGCACTCCAGCCTGGGTGACAGAGCAGGACTTTGTCTCAAAAAATATATATATATATATCTGGAGCAAGGCAAAGATGCTCACTCCTGCCACTTCTATTCAATACAGTACTAGAAATCCGAGCAAGAGCATTTAGGCAAGAAAAAGAAATAAAAGGCATACAAAATAGAAAAGAAGAAGTGAACTGTTTTTGTTTGCAAATGACATAATTTTACAGATATACAAAACCTTAGAATTCCACTAAAAAACTGTTAGAAGTAACAAATGATTTCAGTGAAGTTGCAAGGTACAAAATCTATATATAAAAACCAGTAGCATTTTTATATACTAACAAAAAAAACTATTATATAAAAAAGCCAACAAATCAATCACATTTATAATAGCAACAAAAGGAATAAAATATTTAGGAATAAATTTAACTCAGGAGGTGAAAAGTCTGTATACTAAACATTATAGAATATTGATGAAAGAAATTGAAGAAGACACAAATAGAAAGATATTCTGTGCTCATTAATTGGAAAAATTAATATTATTGAAATGTTCATATTACCCAAGGCAATCCACAGATTCAGTAGAATTCCTATAACATTTCCAATATTTTTCACTGACATAGAAAAAATCCTAAAATTTATATAGAACCATAAAAGACCCTGAATAGCTAAAGCAATCTTGAGCAAAAAGAACAAAGCTGGAGGCACTGCTTTACCTGATTTCAAGATCTACTACAAAGCTATAGTAATCAAAACAGCATGGTACTTGTATAAAAACAGTCATATAGACCAATGGAACAGAATAGGTAGCCAATAAATAAATCCACACATTTACAGTCAATTGATTTGCAGCAAAGACACCAAGAACATACAATGGGTAAAGGACAGCCTTTTCAATAAGTCGTTCTGGGAAAACTGGATATTCACACACAGAGCAATGAAATTAGACCTTGTCTCACACGATATACAAAAATAAACTCAAAATGGATTAAAGACATATGTAAGACCTGAAACTGTAAAACTACTAGAAGAAAACAGAGAGAAAGCTCTATGACATTGGTCTGGGCAATTTTTTTTGATATGACCCCAAAAGCACAGGAAACAAAAGCAAAAATAAAGAAGTGGTATGACATCAAACTAACAAGCTTCTGCTACACAGCAAAGGAAACAATCAACAGAGTGTAGAGACAACCTAAATAATGAGACAGAATATTTGCAAATCATGTGACTGATGAGGGGTTTATATCCAAAATACATAAGAAACTCAAACAACTTTATAGCATGAAAACAAATAACCCAATTAAAAATGTGCAAAGTACCTGAATAGACATTTCTACAAAGAAGGCATACAAATGGCCACCAAGTATACAGAAAAATGCTCAACATTACTAATTAGCAGAAAAATGGAAATCAGAACCACAATGAGATATCACCTCCCACCTGCTAGAATGGCTGTTATCAAAAATTTTAAAAATAAAAAAACAAGTATTGGTGAGGATGTGGAAAACAAACACTTGTACATGGTTAGTGGAAACGTAAGCTAGTTGAGTCATTATGGAAAACAGCACGGAGATTCTGCAAAAAATTAAAAATAGAATTACTATAAGATCCAGCAATTTGGTTTCTGGGTATATATCCAGAGGAAATGAAATCGATGTGTCATTAATGTATCCTATTCCCATGTCTACTGCAGCATTCTTTACAATAGCCAAGAGATGGAATCAACCTAAGTGTCCATGGACAGATAATGTTATGTACATACACTATTATATATACATAATACCATATATATTATTATATACAGACTATTAGACTATTTTATACATATATAGTCTAGTCTATATAATAGTCATAGACTATTAAATATAATATATTTATATATATATATATATATATATACAGGAAAATTATTTAGTCTTTAAAAAGCAGGATATCCTATTATTTGAGCAACAGGGATAAAGCTGGAGTACTTTATGTTAAGTGAAATAAGCCAGGCACAGAAAGACAAATACTCAAATGTGGAATCTAAAAAAGCAGAACTCATGGAAGCAGAGAGTAGAATGGTGGTTGCCAGGGACTGAGACTGGTGGGAAAAATAGGGTGATATTAGTCAAAGGGTACAAAAGTGTAGTTAAGCAGGATGAATACGTTCTGGAGAGCTACTGCATACCATGATGACTATAGTTAACAATACAGTATTGTATACTCGAAATTTGCTGAAAGTAGATTTTTAAATGTTCTCACTACACGAAAAAGGGTAACTATGTCAGGTAATGAATATGTTAATTAGCTTAATTGTACTCATTTCACAATGTATATGCATCTCAAACATCACTTCAACATATAAAGTTTTATTTGTAAAACCTCAATAAAGCTGAAAAAAAAGAGAAACACTTCTTTCTCTAAAAGGTACAGATAAAATATAAACACCTTTTATCCAACTAAAACTGCTAAAAACACTATGATTAGTCTTAATACTTTTTTCCTATATTAAGATTTTCTTTGTGGACAATTCTATTATTTTATAAATACCTTATTTTTTCCTTTACTATTCTTAATTTGCTTAGATTTTATTTTTACTTGTCTTTTGCATTTGCTAGAAACTTCAATGATCCATGTATTTTTATATAGTCAATTGATTACATATTGGACATGAAATCAGTAAGATTTTTAAATCCTTAATAATGGCTTAAAAGGAATCCCAGAGGACCCTGCAGGCCTCAAACCTCAACTCTGTTTGACAGTGAGGTTCATTTTTGAACCTCACTGTTCACTTGTTTTGCTTCCCTCATTCATATAAGTAAATATATCTGAGATACATTATTTTTGTTACCTAATCAGATCAGCTAATGATTTTAGTTGATCTTGGTTTTCATGTGATGAAAAATAACTGCAAACATACTATTTTGTATGGTCTACCTGATCATTTTGGCCTTTGTTGTTGTTTTTAGCATTAGGTGTAATGTTATAGACACCATCACCCAATTCATACTGATTTCCACACTCATTTAGATTAACAGGAGCATGGTGAGTTCTCTATATGAAGCATAGAATAAATTCTAGAATACTAAATAGAAGAGCCATTCTCTTACATGTGAATGGCATAATGAACTATGCTAATAATGTTCAGCAGCACAGAGGACCCACTGGATCTACACTAAGGTACAGAAAAAAAAAACGGGTTTCAGAGTTGACTCACCAAATTGATGTTAATGTGACTGAAAATTCCTTCTCTTAGAATAGCAAATACCCCTTATAAAATCTTATTTACACCTAACTCACTTGCCAACATGGTTTATCTCTAAATTGCATAAATAGCATTCTTCCTTTTCAAATTATCTCAAATACTTTACTAATAGACTCTAAATTAATAAGGATTTGCTGTATTTCAGCTACTCCATAATCAAATAGGCAATTTTTTGTCAGCTTAGAATGAAAGCCTTTTAGTTGTTTAAAAAAACTAAAAATAACAAAAATTAATAAAATGTAAACTATGTTAGGGCATCACTTTCCTGATTTTTTATGCACTATGATAGAAATATAAAATATAAACACAAAATACCTTCTTTGTTATACATAGAAATTTTCTATTTTATGTTGCTTCTCAGCAGGAAAACATTTTCAAATGAATGTGCAAAATAATGAGATAAAGGAATGCTTAAAAACATTTTCTTAAATTTAGCCTTTAAGAAACATATATACATGTTTCTTAAACATATACATATATAGAGAACATATGTATATGTTCTCTATATATATAAGTGTTAATCATATAAAGTGGTATGGAGTAGTGGTGATGTAAGATCATACAGAACAGCAACAACAAAAGTCTTGGGGGTGAACTTTCAAGCATGTTTTTAATAAATTATATAATTTCAGTTTTAAATATGTGTATATATAATTTTAAAAATAGATGTTACTAAGCATCATCTTACATGAAAATAACTACTCTCAGGCATGTGTTTTGCCCCTCCATGTTCTTCTTTTCTGATTATGAAAGTGAGTTTCTGATGAGCTGATTTCAGGGGATTTAGCTGGGTTTACAGCAGCAAGTGGAAGGAATTTCAAGCATTGCCTTCTAACACGTAGATACACGGGGCATGTGGGTGGCACATTCACAACTGGATCCGGACGGAACAGTCTCCAGACTATTCCAACCAGATCAGAAGTTTTACCTTGGGGTCCATGAATAGGCTTTGTCTTCGGAATACCTGAAACTGTGCTCATCTTTTGGTTCTCTCTCTCTCTCTCTCTCTCTCTCTCTCTCTCTCTCTTTCTCCCTCTCTCTCTCTTTCCTTTTTAAGGAAGACAACTCAGATGTTTCTATCAGAGTCTCAGTGGCGTCTAAGACCTGAGGAAGTGAAAGCACTCCTTAGCTAGAGAAAGACAAAAACACACCTCTGAGTAACTCCGCCTGGTGTATTTGACACGGTCTCCTTTTCTTAGGACCTGTGAGAAGGTACAGACGTTTATTCAAACAGAAAAGGAAAGCATCTCTGCACATTCCCGCAAACCCTACGCCATCTTTTAAAATGTTAAAATTCAAGAGTTTGGAGTGTTTTTCACAGCGGGAGGGGAATCCTAGGAATTGCTTAATAAAAAAACCTAGGCAGCCCCGGAGTCAAAGCCGGTTCCCGGCCTGATCCCGTCCCGCAACAGCCTGCCTCCTCTTTCCTTTCAACATGACAGATGCCGCTGTGTCCTTCGCCAAGGACTTCCTGGCAGGTGGAGTGGCCGAAGCCATCTCCAAGACAGCGGTAGCGCCCATCGAGCAGGTCAAGCTGCTGCTGCAGGTGCAGCATGCCAGCAAGCAGATCACCTCAGCTAAGCAATACAAGGGCATTATAGACTGCGTGGTCGTATTCCCAAGAAGCAGGGAGTCCTGTCCTGGCGCGGTAACCTGGCCAATGCCATCAGATACTTCCCCACCCAGGCTTTTAACTTCGCCTTCAAAGATAAATACAAGCAGATCTTCCTGGGTGGTGTGGACAAAAGACTCAGTTTGGGCGCTACTTTGCAGGGAATCTGGCATCAGGAGGTGCCGCTGGGGCCACATACTTGTGTTTTGTGTACCCTCTTGATTTTGCCCGTACCTGTCTAGCAGCTAATGTGGGTAAAGCTGAAGCTGAAAGGGAATTCCGAGGCCTCTGTGACTGCCTGGTTAAGATCTACAAATCTGATGGGATTAAGGGCCTGTACCAAGGCTTTAACGTGTCTATGCAGGGTATTATCCGAGCTGCCTACTTCGGTATCTATGACACCGCAAAGGGAATGCTTCCGGATCCCAAGGACACTCACATCGTCATCAGCTGGATGACCACACAGACTGTCACTGCCTTTTCTGGGTTGACTTCCTATTCATTTGACATCGTTCGCCTCTCGTGATGATTCAGTCAGGGCGCAAAGTAACTGACATCATGTACACAGGCACACTTGACTGCTGGAGGAAGATTGCTGGTGATGAAGGAGGCAAAGCTTTTTTCAAGGGTTCATGGTCCAGTGTTCTCAGAGGCATGGGTGGTGCTTTTGTGCTTGTCTTGTTTGATGAAATCAAGAAGTACAGGTAAGTTATTTCCTGGGTGTTTTTCCCCCTGTGAACAGGCATGTTGTATTATATAACATATCTTGAGCATTCTTGACAGACTCCTGGCTGTCAATTCATGAATGGCAACTGTTTGTTGGTAGAAAATGGGAAACAATAATATTCATCTGACCAGTTTTCTCTTAAAGCCATTTTCATGATGATGACGATGATGGGACTCAATTATATTTCTTATTTCAGCCACTACTGATAAACAACAAATTTGGAGAAATAAAAATATCTAAATACAAAAATTTTTAAAAACCTATGGCTTTTTATTTACTAACAAATTTAACCATGGTTATGATGTGCACCCTTCATTACACAAACGTCCATAATGAAAATTCCCTATGTATGTAAAGTTATGCATATTTAAAAGACTAAATAGAATATATATAGATTTTTTTGAGACAGAGTCTCACTTTGTTGCCCAGGCTGGAGTGCAGTGGCACAATCTCTGCTCACCACAACCTGCGCCTCCCAGGTTCAAAGGATTCTCCTGCCTCAGCCTCTGGAGTAGCTGGGACTACAGGCACGCACTACCATGCCCGGCTAATTAGAATATTTTAACAATAATCACATTTTAACTTTCTGATTATTTTTGCATTGAAGATAACAGCTAAAACTTTGTCCAATGTAAAATGGAGAGAGATCTGTTGTCAGTTATAAGTGGCACAAGGGTTTGAACAACCTTTCCCAAAAGAACAACTGAGAAAGCTGAAGAAAGTATTTTAAGTATGTATATTAAGGCAACGTAAAGTCAAAGAGATGGTGAAGAATTATATATTTGAGACTCCCAGGAAAAAGAAAATTCAGAGATCTGAACCCTGTTTTTTACGTATTTCCTGGCAGAATCTGCTCATTTAGGGGAGGCTCAGAGAGACTGAGAAAGTGAAAAATGTGTTCTAATGACTCACGCTGCTAAGAAGAAAAACAATCCAGACTTGGAGCCCATTAAGAAGGGAGAACGGGTTGAAATTTTGAAGAGTGGCACCATAGGGAAGCAGTTTTCAAAGTGTGATCCAGGTAACCTAGATAATTTTTCCTCACCTAAGTTCTAGAACGAAGCACAGAGGAACAAAATGGTGAAAAACAAAAGATCTAACATACATAAATTGGAGTCTTGAAGGTTGTGTAGAAAAAACAACCTGTTTACCACACTCAGCACTTCACTCCAATGTCAAATGTGTAAAACCTCATGTGTGCGGTATGCGGGTCTGTGTGTGATATGAGTGTGTGTTTCCCACACCGACTAATTCTCCAATTCTCCAAACACCAACTGGGTATCTTAAATTCAGTTATGATACTAACTACCTGAAGTTAATGCAGACCCCATAGGTAAAGAGATCAGTCCCACAAAACTGTCCCCCACTTCAGACACTCAACACAAGTAGTGGGTCCTTATGTTACCCAGATTTCTGTCCAACTTGGCTACAAGTCAGGGGTTCCCATGAACCCCTCCTTAACTTCAATATTTTGCTAGAATGGCTCACAGAGCAATGAGTTCATAAGATCAGAGATTCTCCCTTCTACCAGAAGGGGCTGTCCCCTGACTTACCTTGTATGGGAGATCAGAAGACGCCTTGCAGAGAGGGGCGGTGGTTTGATCCACTTGGGGATCTTCTGGGTGTCTGGACCAAGCTGGGGGCCACCATTATTCGTGGGCCATCTTGTCTCTCTGGCAGAGGAATTGAATAAATCTATCACTCAAGGTTTCCTTTTCCACCCCAAATCCACTGCTGGTTCGTTTCCCAAGGACTCCTGAGTACTACAAACCCATTAAAACACTGCGGCTTTACTGGTCTGTGGCTATAGAAACTACCCAGTCACCTAAGGACTATTTATTGAGTACCACAAATTACTGATTTCAGCACCAGGGAGCAAAAAGACAAATATCCCTGTCCTGTGGCACTTACATTCTAATGGGCTAGACAGAGAAACAACAATATGCATTAAAGTAATTCATTCACGCAATGCTATAAAGAGATTAGATGTGTGGGGAAATTTTAGAGGGATGTAGTGAACCAGTGGGAGGAAAAGTGGAAATGTAAATTATTTAAATGGAGTTGCCAGGACAGAACTTCTCCAGAAGATGATTAGAACCATTTGACTTTTCAGAGCCCTGAAAGTCAAAAGTACGCTACCTGACCTCCAGAGGTTCTGGGAGGATAACAAGGGGTAAGGCACTTCCAACTCCTCTGACAACTTGAAATCCCCAATTTGTGTAACCTCTTGTCTCAGGTTGTTTTCTGTGTACATTAGTGCCAGGTAAATAAAACATTTTCATGGTTTCTGTTCTTACAGTGTCCTTTGAAACAGTCTAAAGTGAAATCAATTCCCTAGAAATATTTTATTCTAGTCAAACCAACCAGCCCCTTTATTTCCTATCTTTTGACAACTTTTAGTTGCCGTTTGTAAGAGGTTTGTGCAAACTGCAATTACATCCAGCACATAATACTAGAAGCCCATTGGTACCCCATGGATTGAGAAGGCTTCACAAAATAATGTTTCTGGATATGGAAATAAATTTTGTTGAATGGAAAATCACTTATCAGAAAATCTAAAGCACATTTTCCCCCATCAGCCAAATTGTTCCAAAACTTTACAAAAAACAAAATGGTATCAGCTTTTAGTAACTCTAATACATTCCTTTATTGCAGACAGCTTTCTGAATCACGTTAAAACCACAGGATTGGAGTTGCCACAGGTTGCATTTTATCAGCACAAACGAGGGTGTTATTTTTTTCTTTTGCCATACAAATTAGAGCGATTATTTCAATTCAAGCTGTGATAGTTCTGGGGAGAATGATTGCACATATATTATCCAAAAAAGAAAAAAAACAAAAAAGAAAAGCTCACAGTAGGAATCTGCAATGCAGTGTTTAGTTTTGTTTGTGTTTGTTTTTTTTTAAACCCAGCTACTTAGCAGTAATTTATTGGCCTATTACTTCCACACTTTTCTGAATTCAGAAAGTCTATACTTGTCATGTTTACAACTAAACATACTCATAATCCTTTCTCTGCAATGAAACTTTGAGAAAGCCATAAACCAAAGTAAACATCAATTAAAAGATGCTGACTGTAAATTTAGAGGACATTCAATAAAATATTCTCAAAAACTCTCTTCTCTAAAGTTTCATAGAGTCCAATATACAGGTAATAAACCCTTCAACTAGTGCTAATGCATGTTACAGAGCTTCTTGCTCTGTGCTGAGGGGTATTCAAAAGAAATGGACACAGAACTACCTGTAAAAATGCTTTTCCTCACCAAACTCCCTCTAATAGTTTTCAACACAAAATCAGATTAGCGAGAAGTTCAGGAAGACCTGCAGCCTACACTGAAATATCCGAGTGTAGGACAGAATTCATAGAATGAATTTCCTCCTCACTTTTTTATGTATAAATGACTTTTCTTATAAACCTCAAAAATTAGACACTTTTGCTTGAAATTTTGAAATCTATTTTATTCTTCATATTAATTAAATAAAAAATTTCAAATTAAATTGGAAATAAAATTTATACCCATTAGAAGGTCATTTATACTTTCTTCTGATCCCATCACAAAATTTAGGCACCAGCAGATGGAGGAATTAGTGAAAAGCCAGGGAAGTTAGAGGCCTGGGTCTGTGCCACCGGGCAGCCCCAAGGACAGGAAGTCAGCTCCTCTCCTGCTGGTGTTAAGAGGGATGAGTGGAGAGCAGAAGACTGGAGCGATGACAGTTAACATAGACAGTGCTGGAAGGTAATCCTTGATTCTTTACAAAACAGCTTTTTGGGGGGCACTGCTGGAGGTTCACTTAAGAAGAAGTAGACTCCCATGTCTAGGGAGGAAAAAAAAAGAAAAATATGTTTGATTACTAGTGAAATTAATAGAATTTGTACATAAATGTCATTTAGAAATCACTGACTTATGCAGTTTATCCATTTCTTTTTTGATATGTGTGGTTAATACCAGTTGGAACCAAATGCTTGTATTAGGTTGGTGCAAAGAGCACTATTACTTTTGCACCAACCTAGTAACTTATGTGGTTAGAGGATCAATATTAATGGTGACCAACAGTGATTAGAAAGAGAATATACTACTGGTCAACACCTCTTAAAATAACTTCTATTGGAATTAATGAGAATTTTATGAATGAATTCCCCAACTGTGGTTCTGTTAAATTCCAGAATTATTTTTCTAGGGACTTGTGGTTTTCACTTGCAGTTTTTAAAACCACACTGCATCCCAGCAATACTTGATCATACTGCCAATGTGAAAGAATTCCTTGAAACTGCTAGAAATATAAATCAAGTTTAGGCATTAAAACAGTCTCAAATATATGAGATACTGTCATATTTGAGAAGAATTTGGGAGGAATAAAGGCTAGATATTTTACTTCTCCCTCTTCCATTTCAGTTTGCCAACTTCGATTTGGGTATATCAATGCATTTGCAGAAAAAATAGACTGAATCTTAAGAACAAAGCACTAAGTATTAGTGGCATTCTCAAGGAGAAAAAAGGTAAAAACTATTAAAGATATACCTTATTGAGATCCTTTATATGATAAACTAAACTTAGCTGTCTTTAAAAATATAATGTATTTGAATTCAGACCTTTCTATTTGAGTATGAAAACATATCTCAACTCATTGGAAAAGTAGCAAACATATACATTATTCCACCTAAGGTATAACTACTTGAAGGTGCCCTTCAATCGGATGCCATAAATTATCTTGAGTATGAAGGAAATTGCAATATGAATAAACATAAATCATTAAAAATACAATCAGTCTTTTCAAGCTATGTATGAAATTGAACGAGATAAACTATAGGGCCATATTTCAATATTGAAAGGAAACTCAGAATAATTTTTGCTGGATGGAGAATAGTGACATGCTATTATGATAAAAATTTACCCCAAACTGCCATTAATGTCTAATATAGAGAAAAGATAGCAATTAGTATTATTAGATTGAATAAGAGAAATAAAAATGGCTGAGTGTGTGGTAGAGAAAGGGTAGATTAAGTAAAAGGGAGCATATTTTAATTATAGGACAAATTAAGCAATGAAACAGTTGACAAGGAAAATTTACGTTCATCACTGTCAAAGTTGGCTTCAGATCTAGTAAGAAATTCTTTTAGAAAGTGTTTATAAAGGACATTGTTTACAAATTTGCCAAGTTCATGTAAAAGATAACCTTTAAGAATTCCTTGTAGTACAAAAAAAGATATCATAATCTAGTTAAATATGACTTGATATTAAAATTAACTAATCTCAAAGTTTTTTCAACTTAGTTCCAAATGTTTAACATAGCTCTAGAAAGCAAGAGTTTAAAGAGGAAAAAATAGGCTGTTTGAAGTAATACTTTTTGCATAGGAAAAACATGGTACACATGTAAGGTATTATAATAGGAAACAGAGAAGTCCATAACCTAGAGCCAATTATGGAATGACACAATTGCCTACACAAGGGGAAATGATAGATGTGTTCTTTCCAATCCATGACTGAAATACAGGATTTTTCATATGTAGAATATATGCAGGAATATATATGTATATGTGGATAAAGATATATTTATTAATTATGTAAATATAGAGAAGAAAATAATTACTCCTAGAGAAAAGAATGACTTGAAAGTATTTTAAATCCATATAAGCTGGGTCATTCCCTCCCTGTGAATCTTTCAAAGACATTTTTGCCTCTACTTCAATTTTCTTCTGTCATTTCAATTTATAATTATAAAAAGAGAACATTGCTTAGTGGTTAGCATAATGGGATATCATGATGAAATCCTTAACAGAGGAATCTGAGACCTTGAGATGAAAAGAAATGTAAAGTACTATCTTTTAGTAATAAATGTCATAACTTAGATTGTGCCCACAGCAACTTAAAGTTTCAGTGACAGGGGACACAAGAAAAGAGCATATCATCTGCATTTTTTGTAATGCTTCCAGATGCCAGGTCCTCTGCTAATTGCTGCAAATAAAAGGCAAAGACAGATACTGTGCCTGTCTTTAACAAATGGAGGAGGCAAGTAGTGAAACCAAATTATTGGTAAATAACAACCAGGATCAGTGCCTCAGAGGAAAGATATGGAGAGCAGAGAGAGAATGTAACAGAGGGCCTAATGTCCTCTGAATAATAATGGAATGGAAGGCTTTCCTCAGGAGACTGCTGAAGTATTAAAGGTAAACCAGAAGGGTTAGGGCAGAAGATATTCTAGGCACAAGAAACTGCATAAGCAAAGGCCCTGAGTGGAGAGCGATCTTAACATATTGAAGGAAAAGAAAGAGAGGCCCTGCGGTTGGGGCACAAAAACCACAGAGAAAGTGGAGCCAGATGAGGTTGCAGAGCTAAGCAGAACTTCAATCATGTGAGTTTTAAGGCTCATTGCATTAAAAGTAATGGCAAAAACCACAATTAGTTTGCACCAAACTAATAAGACAAATCCAGGCTCAATTTAATAACAAGTTGAAATTCAATGGTGTTTTAATCTGAGAGATGAAATATAGTAACAGGAATATTTACCCATATTTCTGGTATTCAAACTAATTGTATGATAAGCATATAGATCCTGGGCCATGTTCACTGGAATCAGGGCCCAAGTTAGTGAAGAAGAATGTGGAAAACACGACCTATTAATTGCTAGGGATAAGGGTTTGCAAAGAGTAGGCTGGATTGGAAGGACATTGATCAAGGAGAAAGTGTGGACTGAGCTGTGCATGGCTGTTAGCCTGGTAGGAAACCAGGGCACAAATTGTAGGGGGGGGACGGGTGTATAGAAAGGCAAAACACTGCTACACACACTTGGATATTTTCTTTTCCTTCCGGAAAGAATTAGTTGGAAGTGTGTTTCCTTTTGTTAATATTCTAGTATTATTTGCAAGATACCAGATGACTGCATTTGGTTCCTATTGCTGGTGTAACAAATTGCTGCACCCTTAGTGGCTTAACACAACAAAAATTTGTCTTACAGTTCTTGGAGATAAAAAGTCTGAAATGGTTCCACTGGGCTAAAATTGAGGGAGGCTTCAGGAGAAAATAGTTATATTTGCCTTTTTCAGCTTCCAGGGGCTACCCACATTCCTTGGCTCCCAGCTCCGTTCTCTCATCACTTTGACCTCTGCTTCTATTGTCACATCTCCTTCTGTGCCTCCTGCCTCTTTCTTTTACTTACAAAGACCTTTGTGAGGACACTGGGCCCAGGATAATTTTCTCATTTCAGGATCCTTAATCACGTCTACAAAATCATCTGTGTCATATAAAGTAACATAGTCACAGGTTCTGGGGATTGGCTAGTGGACATCTCTGGGGGACCATTACTCTGCCTGCCACAATGACATAGCCAAATTTCTGGGAATAATGGAAAAAAATTGTTCTAGTCATTCAAACCTCCCTTCTCAGAAGTAGTTGATATGAAAACTACCTTCAGCAATAGTAGAAATCAGGAATATATATTATTTATACTTTAAATAGAATAAAAAGGAAGTGATTGAAGAAGAATGCAAAAGACTAACTAGATTTTATCTTGTAGACAATGTATAGGTTTCTTTCAAAGGCTCAGTAGAGGAGATCTAGGCAGGACACCCTCCATAGAGTCTGAATTAGAGGGTCAGAGTTGGCAAGAAAATGTTGAAAGGGTTGCACCTTGAGAAAGGAAGGTGCTAGTCCACATGAAATCCCACTCACTGCTGGCGGTCAGTGGGTAGCCGCATGTGCTAGGCTGCATAAAGGAACAGTCACACCAAATTGAGTGCGTCTCTCTAATTGCCAATCAACCCACTGCATGTAAATTCTTTTTCTGCCATTCATATATTTATTGATCTACCCATCCAACAAATATTTCATGAGTACCACCACACTTACCACAGATTCCCTGGATATGGCAGTGAATAAAACAAGGTTTCTCCTCTCATAAAACTTATGTTCTAGATGGGAGAGAAAGACATTAGAAAACAAATAATTTGTAAGATGGTATTAGGTAGCACTAGGCTCTAAAAGGGAAAGTATTGCTGAATAAGGTAGTAGGAGGAAGAAAAGAAAAAGAAATAAGAGACATCTGAGCAGGGACGTGTGAGCAGAAACCTAAAAGAGAGAAAGAGAGTTATCTAAATGGATTTTGCAGGGACATGAGGAGAGGAGAACAAGAATCAAAAGCATCTCCTTGGCATTCTCAGCGGACACTGAGGAGGCAGTATATCTGGGGAAGAGAATGCAAGGGGACAGTTGGAAGATAATGAGGTTAGGAAGGTGTCCTAGGGTGTGATCATGTAGGTCAAGCTTCTGGATTTTATTGTAAGGCTATTGGAACAGGGGAATGAGGAGATTTAATTTGCATCCTAAAAGGTAAGCAGCAGTTTACCAGCTACCAGGGAGGCAGGAGAGCAAGAAAAAATAATAAAGTTAGTACTTCATTGTTACAGGGAGTAAGTAGGGCAGCTTTACTTCAAACTCCACTTGAAGACTGTAGTATTGAAGAGGAAAGAAAAAAAGTTGCCTTTGTCTATTTGTGCTGCCATAACAAAATGCAACAGACTGGTAATTTTATAAACAATAATAATTTATTCCTCATGATTCTAAAGCATGGGAAGCCCAGGATCAAGGCACTGACCAGACTGGTGTCTGATGAGGGCAGCTCTCTGCTTCCAAAGTGGTGCCTTGTAGCTACATGTTCCAGAGAGGAGGAACATGGCAGAAGGGATAGAAGAGCAAGAGAGCACTCTCTTCAATCTTCAGCCCTTTCATAAGGGTGCTGCTCCCACTCAGGAGAATGGAGCCCTTATAACTTTTCACCTCCTGAAGGCCACACATCTTAATACTGTTGCACTGGGGACACCATCTTTCAAACCATAGCAGAAGTGATTGTGTGCTGCTGGAGAGGAGGTGGCATTCCTCTTTAATTCTGTCCATTATTTGGAAACCTCTGTCATCAACATTCAGCTTCACTGAACAGGCTGAAAGGCATGAATGACCACACAAGCAGACAGTTGGACTTCTCCCTGGTGATGATTCACTATGGGGCATAGAGTCTCTTCCCTGAGAGAAAGAGTAAAGCCAAAATGGAAGCAGTGGAGGCCAGGCCAAGAAAGAAGGCTAGATAAAGAAAGCTAGTCAACAGCTAAGCAACCACAGGAAACAGAATAAAAAAAAGTGTCCAGGACCAAGAATCCATTACTGGAGGAAGTACTGATCTATGAACTGCCTCAATTCTTTGGGGCACTAGAATTAACAGAAAAAAAATCCTGGTAATAGAAACTTACCCTAATCAACAATCATCCTGAAAACAAACAAACAAAAAAGATTTTGGCCGTATTCAGATGTACAGTAGTGGTACCCAGGTATGATCTACCTATATTTCTGTGGAGTAACTTTACAATCAGAGGTAATATCTCTTATTTTTCCATAGATGACATATATTTTTAAAAGCACTAATGCCTATTATTTCATTTGCATCACAAAAGAAGAGCAAAAGTAACACTTAAGAGTTGTATTTGAAATGAAGATGTACTTAAGACAGTGCCTTTGTGGTACTTCCTAGCCCTTTGAGAAAATGTGGACAGCTTTGCGGTATCTTTCCAGAAAACATGTACAGAAAAGTTCAACTTGCATTTCAAATAAAAGACTATTTACCCCCATATATAGACATTTACCACTGTAGTATTTTATTATATAAGGCTATAACCCTTTATTTGAAAAGATTATGACAACACTAAACATCAAACCTTACTGAATATTGCCACAGCTCTAAAAATGGTTTAAAATTTTATAAACTAAATAGGAAAGAATAAAACAGTGTCAACAATAACAACTCCAAAATGTAAGGCCTGCAAAGGAGAGCAGTTGATGAAGAAACTAGAAATTCAGAAACTATAAACCAGAAAGTACAAAAGCTTTTTAAAAATATTTATCATGACTTTTTAACTCCTTTTTAAAAATGTGTTCTAAGAATATAACACAATATTAATGATCATGATAACATGGAAGTATCATTTGAGTTTATTTTGATTTAGATTTCTCATTTGAGTTCTGTTTCCTTTTTAATACATAATAGGTATTTGATACATAAAAGTTTGAACAATACATAAGAATTTCTGTTTAGGATGTAAAAAGATGGAAGAAGGATCACTCCACCTGTACAACAAAGAATATGTCTGAAAATCTACAAATCAACTTTCATTGAATATATCCAAGAACTGAGATCATAAGGTGATCTGGTTTAAGCATGGTTCGCTTTTCCTTACCAAAAGTCACTTTGAAATTTGACCCCAGTTTAGTGATATTGAAAGATGAAGCCTAATGGAAGGCATTTAAACCATGGGGCAGATTCTTCCTGATTGGCTTGGTGCTATTCTCATGGTAGTGAGTTCTCTGCCTGGTGAGACTTAGTTTCCACAAGAGTGGATTGTTCTAAATGCAGGATTTTGTCGCTTTCTGTGTGTTTTGATTCAAAATGAAATGATCAATGAAATTAAATCTCTAGCCATATTGACTAAGAAATGAAATTAAATCTCTAGCCATATTGACTAAGAAAAAAGAAAGAAGAGGTAGATTGCAAATGTAAGGAATGAAAAAAGGGACATCACTATAGACCCTATAGATGTTATAGAAATAATAAGGACATATTTTAAGCAACAATTCAACAAATTATATTCAATGAACAAATTTCATGATGACACAAACTCCCAAACTCATTCAATAAATTATGTATATATAAGACATAAATATGTAAATCCTATATATAATTTTATTTTTACTTATATAAAAATATACTTCATATTTAATTTTATTTTTATTTTATTTGATATATAAAATTTTATTTTTGTTCTAATTGATATATAAAAACTATATTTGTGGTACAAATACTCCAAGAAAGAAAACACAAAGCCCAGATGGTTTCACTGAAAAATTCTACCAAATGTGTAAAGAAGAAATAATGCCAATTTTACATAAGCTCTCCTCAAATTTAAAAGAAGAAGGAAAATGCCCCAATTTGTTTTATGAGGTTAATATCACCTTGCTATCAAACTCAGACATATATTAAAAGAAAGGTACAGATCAATTTTCCTCATGAAAATAAATGCCAAAATCACAATAAAATGTTAGGTAATTGAATCCAACAACATATAAAAATATAAATCAATAGTGTTTATTCCAGGAATGCAAGTATGGTTGAACATTCAAAAATCAACTAAATTAATATATCAAATTAACTAACTAAATAAGAAAACTACATGATGATCTCAATAGATGCAGAAAGAGCCTTAGGAAAAGATCAATATCCATTTATCATGGAAAACTTTAGACAAACTAGGAATAAAAGACCATCCTCATCTGAAAATGGGTATATATAAAAAGAAACGTACATCTAGCACCATACTTAATAATGAAAGAGCAAATGTTTTATTCCTACAATCAGGAATTAAGCAAGGCTATCTGCCTTTATAACACCATTCAACAGAGTACTAAAATTTCTAGACAATATAATAAGACAAAACATTAAAATAAAATATATACAAGCTAAAATAAAATAAAATTTTCTTTTCCAAGAAATTCTGTTTACATAGAAAATTGTAAAGCATCTACAGGAAAGATTCTAGAACCAATATGTGAGTTTAGCAGGTCACAGAATACAAGTCAATACAGAAAAATGAATTGTACTTCTACCTTCCGCCAGTGAATAATTAGAAGTTGAAATTTTAAAAACGTACCATTCACAATAGGATGAAATACATGAAATAATTGGATATTAATATCATAAAGTATGTGTAGGGTCTGTACACTGAAATGTAGAAAATCCTGATGAAAGAAATCAAAGACAAAACAGAGATATACCATATCCATGGCCTGGAAAAGTCACTGTTGCTAAGATGTCAGTTCACTTGCAACTCTCCACACACTCAACACAACTTTAACAAAAAATCCAGCAGCATTTTTTAGAAAAACCAAAGATTTAATTTTAAAATTATAGGAAAATAAAAAGGCACATCTATAAGTAAATAAATAAATAAGAACAAATTTGAAGGATTCACACTACCTGATTTCTAGACCTATTATAAAATTTCAGTAGTCAAGTAATACAGTAAGAGACTATTAATAATCATGCAGATAAAGGAAACAGAAAAGAAAGGCCAGAAATATACCCACCTATTTACAGTCAATTGATTTTTCAGTAAAAATGCCAAGGCAATTCAATAAAGAAAGAAAATTTTTTTTCAACAAAAGGGCTGGGACAATTGTATACTCATATGCAAAGACAAACAAACAAAAAACACAACATCAATTTCTAACTCATATCCTATACAACAATCAACTCAAAATACATCATAAACTAAATGTAAAATGTAAAATTCTAAGACTTCTAAATGAAAACATGAGTGAAAATATTTGTTATCTTGAGTTAGGCAAAGATTTTTAAGATACAACACCAAAAGCAGAATCCATAAAAGAAAAAAAGTGATAAATTAGACATCATCAAACTGAACATTTCTTCTTGGGAGGACAGTGTTAAGAGACTGAAAAGACAGAAAAGCCATAGACGGGGAAAACAAGTTTGCAAATTATATATCTGATAAAGGACTTGTAACCATTCGACATATAAAGATCCTCAAAACTCAGAAATAAGAAAGCAATGCTTTTTAAACAATGGTCCAAATATCTGAAAATTCAAATAGATTTATGAATACCTAATAAGCATATAAAATGTGTTCAATATTATTAGTCATTGGGGAAAAGCAAATAACTATAATGTGATATTACTCTGCATTAATGTACTGGCTACAATTGTAAACAATTCAAAATGCTGACAGGGATGCTGAGTAACTGGACTATCACACATTGTTTTTGGCAACGCAAGATAGTACAGATACTTTGTAAAATAGTTTGGCAATACAATACAAAATTGAACATATACTTAATATAGTGACCACTCTGAGGTGTTTATCCAGGTGAAATAAAAGGTTTTGTTCACACACACCAAAAAAACCTGTACATAAACTGTTACAGTGGTTTTATTCATGAATTGGAAGCAACTCCTATAGTCCTCAACTGCAGAATAAATGAACAAACCGAAGTGCATATATACAATGAATACAATTGAGCAGTAATGAAAAATGAACCACCAATCCACACCACAACATGGATAAATCCCAAATGGATTATGCTGGGTAAAAGGAGCTAGACTCAAAAGGTTCCATGCTATATCATTTCATTTGTATGTCATTCTTTCAGAAGCAAAATATCAGGGCAAAAAGTAGATTCATGGATGCAGGCCTGGGAGCAGGCTGGGGGTTGACTACAACAGAGTTTATAGGGAGATGGAGCTGTTCTAAATCTTAATGGTTGTGGTGTTCTATGACTGCATATGTTTGCCAAACTCTCAGAACTTTACACACACACACACACACACACACACACACACACACGTCAATTTTACTCTATGTAACTATGCCCTAATTTAACAAATGAGAAAAATTAAATATTAAAAACAACCAAGTCGATTATTTTAATAATATAAATCAGAGATGTGAACCAAAAAATGCATGTGGAAGAGACTTAAAACTATTTATTTTCAATATTATTTAGTAATAATTAAATATTCATCAGCCTGAGAATGTCGAAAGTTGAAACACACACAAAAAAACTTTTTTATAAAAGGAAATTATAACAATTATCCAAAAAATTTAGTTTATTGAGAAAAGTTCACACAGACACACACACACACACCCCCAATGGTATATCAAGATACTTGAATATTTCATACTGTTTCTGTAATATCTTTGTACGTTGATTCTTGAGGTTTTATAACAACTTCATCCAAACATGTTTTTATCTTATCCCTGCACAGATACATAGAAGTTTCTAGTGAAGAAAGCTTAAAATGCTTTGCAAGCTAACTTCTAGGACCATCTGTTGTGTCATTAAGAGACTGGCTAGGTCATAAGATGTTTTGAAAAACAAAACAAATGCACTATACTGCAGCAAGTGTGGACTGCAATTTTTCCTGAGGCATCTTTACTGAGTAGGTCCCACTCTGAACAAAGGGATACGTCTCAGTTTGTTCTACTGCAACTAATATGTAACAAGCAGCAATTTATTTCTTGTTTGACTTTAAAAAAAATCAAACCTGATACAGTGGGTTTAAAGGCAGTTGAAACAGAGTACATCTGGCACATAATAGGGTGGGGGCTGTTAGAGACCTCAATTCCATGACCATCTATACCACGCATCAACCACAAGATCACAAATAAGAGTCTTAAATTTTTAGCTTCTGTTTTCTGATTTAAGAAATGGAGATTGGAAGAAGAAATTCTCATTTCTTCATTCATTTGACAGTTATATTTTGCATATCTACTGTGCATGCACTGAGCTACGAACATCAGCATGGGCATTTTCTGAGGCTTTCCATGGCTGTACAGAAGACACATTCGTCCAATAATACTACTCATAAGCAGATAAATGCTTGAAACAAGCTCAAAATATTCTGAGAGTCATAGAAAAGAGGAACTGGGCCTAGACTGGGATTGAGGCTATGGAATAAGGGGCCGGAAAGCTTTCTCTGAAGACATGATATGTAAGTTGAGATCACGCACACACACACAAAAAAAATAGGAAAGCTTGTTACCGGACAATAGGTGAGTATTGTATAAAATTGCTTATTTTGTGCTACAAGAAGAGTAAACGGTCTCCAGCACTAATGAAATGTCTGAATTTCTGATAGGCATCAAGTAAGACTAGAACTTTCTCCAGGAGCATCTGCAGCTCCTTTTAAAACTGTTGGATGCAGACAGAACACTAGGCTGTAAGTAACAACTGCAGGCTCACACTGGAAAAAACATCTTTTCCTGAATATTGAGTCTTACTGCTTGCCCAGATCTCTCCTTTTTCAAGTCATGCAAAGCTTTTAGTAAAGGAAATTTCTCAACACCTAACTGGCTACAATCAATGTGTTCCACATAACTCTCCACTGTGAGGACTATAAAAATAGAATCTGAAATTTAGGCCTGGGACTCTGGGGAACAGAAACACAGATAAGTGAGAGAAAGTGTTTCCCTTTGAATTCTGATACCTGACATTTGGACCTGAAAAGTCAGTGCAAATGACAGAAAAGTAAAGCAATGTAAGAAATGAGAGCCGCACAGGAAAATGATGTCATTAAGATTTTTTCTACTTGTTTCCTTTCTTTTTAAACATTGACCTTGTGGTTATAAGAAGATCTGGGAGCTTTTGAATACAATTTTCTACAGGTAAAGCTCATCTGTAGACCTGTTTATCACTGAGACTGCTTTGAACAAGCCAGGACTGAAAGAATCATCTCTTCTTTTTACCTGACAAATCTGTGCACTCTGAGGGCGGCTTTCATGGAATTAGGGCAAGAGGACAAGACATGAAGCCAACGCTTAGCAGTTCGGGGTATTTGTTTCCTTTCCCCATAGTTTCCCTCAAAATTAGTAAGAGGGCCAGCTAATGCTTTCTATCACCTTCTAAGTAACCTTCACCCTTAGGTGGATTTCATCTTTACAGGAAGGAGAAATTTGCCTCCTGGTAACTTAGATCTACCTAAAAAAAAAAAAATATAGAGATTTAGAAGGGAAAGAGGTCTTTCAGGGATTCTAGTTCACACTACACTTTTTAAGAATAAAATAATGGAACCCCACATAGATTGCACGACTTTCTCAAGACATTACTTTTGTTGCTATGGACTAAAAAATGTAATTTATGCCAGAGTGGGGATGTTGTGTGAATGATCTGTAACACGATTCTGTGGCTGTCTGCCACTATTTTAAATGATCATCTGTCAAGGAACCCAGACCACATTAATCAAGTCTTCACAAGATATTCTTCCAAGTATGTTTAGTTCTTTCCATGCCCTGGCCCCAGTTTCTCTAAACACTCATAGGTGCGTTGTTCTATCTTATTGAAGATGCCAGAGTAGATTGTATTTCCCCGCGATGTCTTCCTCAGTCCTCATATCCACGTTGTTCCTCAATGTGACTTGCCACATTTCCAAGCAGAGTGGATCTATATTTGCCTCCATCAAATGTTGTCAGGCTTTTGATGGCTTCAATATAGATTTGATGCTGTGTGACTTCCAAGATTAGGCCTTAAAAAACAACGCAGTCTCACCAAAGAAGTTATTAAAATGACAATTAAGCATATGAAAAGACACTTCCATCACATTTCATCAGGGAAACTGAAACAACGAGACACCAAACACAACTCATCTATTAGAATGGTAAAAATCCAAAATGCTGGCAGCACTGAACGCTAGAATGGTGAGCAACAGGAACTATCATTCATTGCTGGTGGGAATGCAAAGCAGTGCAGCCACTTTGGATGACAATTTGTCAGTTTCTTACAAAACTAAGCATACTTCCTCCCATATGATCCAACATTTGAAAGTGCATGGACACACAAAACCTGCACATGGATGTTTATAGCAGCTTTACTCATAATTGTCATAATATAGAAGCAACCACGGTGTCTTCCAACAGGTGAATGGATAAACTGTGGTACATCCAGATAATGGAACATTCATTAGTACTAAAAAGAAGTGAGCTATCAAGCCATGAAAAGACATGGAGCAATCTTAAGTGGATATTGCTGAGTTAAAGAAGCCCATCTGTGGCAATGTAAGACATCACCGATAACAAATATGCCACTCTGGTGGGAATGTTGATGGAGAGGCAGAGATTTACGGAAACTCTTCACACTTCCTACTCAATTTTGCCGTGAACCTAAAACTGCTCTGAAAATTACATTTATGTTATTTTTTAAAAAATAATGCATCTCCCACCTGGGTGCCCACCACTGTTTTTGGAGAGCTGAGCCACATGTAAGAAACATATATTGTGAGGAAGTCTGGGCAATATGGAGAGGCTACATGCAGTGCTCCCATCCTTACCCACAGGTCAGCCTCAGCCAAGGAGCCAGTGGACAATAGGCATCCACTGCCAGACTTGCAGGTGAGGACACCCCAGTCAGTCCAGCCTCAGCTGTTAGTCACTGAGAATTCCCACCAAGGCACCAGAAATCACCAAGCAGAGACAAGACGTCCTTCCTGTGCCCTGCTTGAATTTCTGACACACAGTCTGGGAACACAATAAAATCATTTTTGGATGCCCCTTATCTTTGGGTGCTTTGTTTTTGCATCATTGGGAATTGGTCTACTTACTGAGGGGCTAACCTGGGAGAGGCAGTGCTCCGGAGAGGCTGTTTCAGATCCTAGTTTGTGGATGAGGCTTTCTGAGTCCAGCCGTCCATGAGGCACCATATGAGCTCAGGACACCAGTGAAGGCCTGTCTAGGCTTTGAGCAGCGATTTTCAACTTGTGAGGTCATAAGACACTCAAGAGAATGGTATCACTGAGTATTTTATTCTGAGATTGAGCTTCTTTCCAATAAAATGGAGACTGTCTGTGAAGACAAAGGGATAGAAGTGACTTTGTAGAAGTCAACTTGTATGAGCAGAAACAAATTAACCCTCCCACCTCAATCAACTGAACAGACATAATGGAAGAAGCAACAGCTCTCCGACATTGGACACCAGGTAGTGCAGGACAGTAATCCCTAAAGAGGAGAAATAAAACAGTGAGTCCTATAATTGCCCTGCCTCATTGCCCAGAGAGAGCTTAGATAATAACTGCAGGAGGGGCAACCGAGGCAGGGCCCTGCATTTATCTTAGTTGAGGAGATAGACTTGGAAATCCACAGAGGCCAAGACAGGTAAACAGCAAGGAGCAGTTATGCAGAGAGAGATACCCAGAGACCTGCCCTTGGCCTTCAGCTGAGTATCATCAGTGCACGTGTGTAAAGAAAGAGCCCAAGGCTGGGAAAGAAATCGCTAGAAAGGAGCAGAGAGAGAAATTCCTTCAGCTCACTCAGAAACAAGAATACTTTATGTTCCCATTAGGAAAAGCAGACACAAGACACTGGAGGGAGCACCCAGTCTTGCTAAGCATGGGAAACACCAGCTCTAAATTAAATCCACTCTTGTCCCACCATGTTGTTAAGCTCATTCTCAAAAGATCAAACTATTTCCAAGTCACTTGACTGCATCTCAGAGCTAAACTCAGAATATTTACAGGAATAAAAAAATATCCTGTACCAACAAGGTAAAAATACAATGTCTAGAATCCAACTGAAACAACCAGACACAGAAAGAAGAATAAAAATATGACCCATATGGAGGAGAAATCCCAATACATCGAAACAGACCTAGACATGACACAGATAACAGAATTAGTAGACAGACAGTTATTATAAGTATAATCCAAATATTCAGGAAGGTGGAGAAATACCTGGGCATTTGTCAACCAGACCTTTGGAAGGTATTTTTTAAAGTCTCAAAGTGAACTTCTAGAGATGAAAAATATGTTTGAGATGAAAAATGTACTAGATAGGATACTAGATAGGATTAACTGCAGATTGGACACTCCACAAAAAATGATTAATCAACTTGAAGACATAGCAATAGAAGCTATCCCAAATGAAATGTACAGAGAAAAAAAAACTGAAAAAAAAAAAAAGAAACAGAGAAGCCAGAAAATTGTAAAAAACAAACTGAAAATGCTGGAACAGGTAAAAAGTGAGGAAGATATTGAAAACTAATAAACAACTAGAGCCCAGTAAGATGCAATATGTCATTGGTTAACACAGGACAAATTGCTCTGGTGGTGACTACACACCATGGCTCCAGTATTATCTAAATGTAACACATTTCTGTTGACCAGAAATAAGCAAGGTCTTAAAACAGTTGCCCCTGGCTAAGCCAAAATGGTAGGCACGAAAGATGAACTTCAGGGAGATCACTGAATGTAAGTGGAGTAGTCACTATTTAAGATCATCAATGGCCACTTTGTGATTTCTATGTATTATTTATTTTATTATACATTTAACCGTATTTTTACACAATAGATAAAATGTTTATTTGCAAAGACAGCAAGTGATTTTTTAAACTTTTTATTTTGAAATAATCATAGATTCACAAGAAGTTACACAGATGTTACAGAGCGATCCTGTGTACTCTTCACCCCATTTGCCTGATGGTTACATCTAACATAACTATAGTACAATATCACAGTCAGCACATTGACACTGGCATTGCGTGTGTGCAGTTCCATGTCATGTAACCCCTTGTGTAGATTAGTGAAAGCCCCACCTCAGGAGACAGAGCTGGTCCACACTTGCAAAGATGTCCCTCATGTCACCCCTTAATCATCACAACTCTCATACCTCCGCCCCATCCCTAACTTATGGCAACTACTAATCTGTTTGCATATCCATAATTATGCCATTTAAAGAATGCTGTAGAAGTGCTGTAGAATGTGGATTCTGTGGAATCCACAGAATGTGACTTTCAGAAATGGGCTTTTAACACTTAGCATGATGCTCTGGAGATTCACCCAAGTCGTGTATGTCAGTAGTCCGTTCCTTTTTATTCCTAAATAGCATTCCATCGTGTCAATGTATCACAGTTTATTTAACCATTCACCTACTGTAGGACATCTACAGTGTCCAGCTTTTGGCTATTACAAATGATGCTGCTATAAACAGTCATATACAGTTTTTGGCTAAGCCTAAGTCTTCATTTCTCTGGGATAAATGCCCAGGAGTGCAATAGCTGAAATTGCTGAACAATTTCGAGAGTGGCTGTACCATTTTACATTTTGACCAGCAACAAATAAGAGACCCCATTTTTCACATCCTTACCGGGATTTGGCACTATTGCCATATTTTATTTTGGCTGTTCTGATAGCTGTGTAGGTACATCTCATCACAGGCTTACCCTGAACTTCTATGATGACTATTGATGTCAAACGTCTTCTCATGTGCTTATTTGCCATTCATTTATCATCTCTGTGAAATAACTCAACATTTCTTTTACCCATTTTCTAACTAGATGTTTTTACTGTTAAGTGTTGAGATTTCCTTATACATTTTAGATATGAGTTATTTGTAAGATTTATGATTGATGCATATTTTTCCCAGCCTATGGCTTGTCTTTATAGCCTCTTTACAAAGTCTTTCACAGAGAAAAATTCTTAGTTTTGATGAAGCCCAATTTATTGACTTTTCTTTTTATAAATTGTGCTTTTGGTGTCATATCTAAGAACTGTTCATGAAGCACTGAAGAAAGTCCCAGAAATTTTTCTCCTATGTCTTCTTCTAAAAGTTTTAGAGTTTTAGGTTTTACATTTAACTGTGTGATTCACTTCGAGTTAATTTTTGTATAAAGTGTCAGCTTTAGTTCAAGTTTCCCTGTTTTACCTACAGATATCCAAGTGTTCCTACACCATTTATTAGGAAGAATATTCTTTGCACATTAAATTGTTTGTGCACATTTATCAAAAATAACTTGGCTGCACTATTGTGGGTCTATTTTGGGTTTCTCTATTCTGTTCCATTGATCTGCCTATTCCTCTGCCAATACCACAGTATTAATCACAAGTTACATAATAAATTTTGAAATCAAGTAATCTCTCACACTTTATTCTTTTTCAAAATTGTTTTAGCTATTCAAGTACATTTGTCTCTTCATAACAATTTTAGAATAATCTTATTTCAAAAAAAAGACTTTTGCTGATAATTTGATAGATATTGCATTAACGTTGTATATCAATTTGTGAAGAATTAACATCTTTACTCTGTTGTATCTCCAATCCATAAACATAGTATGTTTAGATACATTTATTTAGACTTGTGATTCATTTCTGCAGCCTTTGGTAATTTTCTGAATCCAAGTCCAGCATGTGTTTTATTAGATATACACCTAAATGTTTCATTTTTTGAGTGATTATAATTAGATTGTGTCTTTGATTTTGGTTTCTATGTGTTCATTGCTAGCATACAGAAATATAATAGTTTTTTTTAGCTTTTTTCTTGTATTCTATGATCTCACTAAACATATTATTTAGTCCTAGAAGGTATTTTTTTGGTTTTGGTTTTGATAGATACTTTGGCATTTTTACATAAACAATGAGTTCATCAGCATATATGGAGAGTTTTATTTCATTCTTTTCAATCTATTTGCTTTTATTTCCTTTTGTTGCCTTATTACATTGACTAGCATTTCTAGGACTACATTGAAGAAAGGTGATGAGCATGGACATCCCCCACTTGTTCTCAAATTTAAGGGGAAAACATTTGGTAGGGCACGGTAGCTCACGCCTGTAATCCCAACACTTTGGGAGGCCAAGGCAGTCAGATTGCCTGAGGTCAGGAGTTTCGAGACCAGTCTGGCCAACATGGTGAAACCCCATCTCTACTAAAATTACAAAAAAAAAGAAAAAATTAGCCGGGCATGGTGGCGCGTGCCTGTAATCCCAGCTACTCGGGAGGCTGAGTCAGGGGATTTGCTTGAACCAAGGAGGTGGAGGTTGCAGTTAGCCAAGATCACAACACTTCACTCCATCTAGCCTGGATGACACAGCGAGACTCCATCTCAAAAAAAAAAAAAAAAAAAAAGGAAAGCATTTCAGCCTTTCACTATTAAGTGTGATTCTAACTGTAGGGATTTTGAAGATGCTATTTTTCAAATTAAGGAAGTTTCCCTTAGTTCTAATTTTCTGTGAGTTTTTATCATGAGTTGTTGTTCCATTGTATCAAAGGCTTTTCCAGCATCAATTCATTTGAACATGTGATTTTTCTTCTTTAGCCTGTAAATAGAGTGCATTACAATGACTGGTTTTTTGACTATTGAACCAGCCATATTCCATTCATCATAGTAGATAATTCTTTGTATGTATTGCTGAATTCTACTTGCTAATATTTTTCTTCCATACTTTTTATTTTACAAATAAGAGTTTTTGCATTCATATTCATGAGGAATACTGGTCTGTACTTTTCTTCTTTTGTACTGACTTTTCCTGGTTTTGGTATCAGTAAATACTGTATATGACCTGACTTTGGGCATGTTCTCTCCTCTTTTATTTTAGGGAAAACATTGCATAAAATTAATGTTGTTAATTTATCTTTAAATACTTGGTTGAATTCTCCAGGAAAACCACGTGGACTGGAGAGTTTTGGAGGGATCTTTTAAATTGCAAATTTAACTTCCTTAGTAGACATAAGGCAAGTCTATCATCTACTTCATAATGGACAAATTATGATAGTTTTTTGAGGAAATACTCCATTCCAAGTGTTCCTATTTATGTGTGTAGAATTGTTCCTAGTAAATGCTTATTATCCCCTTTTGATTTCTGCAATGTCTGTAGGGATATTTCTGTTTTATTGGTAATTTGTTTCTTCACTCTTTTCTTGATAGCCTTGTAAAAGGTTTGCAGATTTTATTGACTTTTTCAAAAGCCAGCTCTTTGATTCTTGGGTTTTCTGTTAGTTTTGTCATCAATTGTATTAATTCCTGCTTCTATCTTTATAATTTCCCTCCTGCTGCTTGCAATAGGTTTCCTTTGCTCTTTTTTACTTTTCATATCTTGATGTGGGAGCTTAGCTTATTGATTTGAGATGTTTTCTATTTTCTGACGTAAGAGTTTACTTTTATAAGCTTTCCTCTCAACTATATCACCTGCATCCCATAAGTTCTGATATGTTGTATTTTCATCTTCATTCAATTCAATATATATATTTTTTAATTTCTCTTAAGACTTCCTCTGTAGCTCATGGATTACTTGGTAGTGTGTTGTTTAGCTTCTAAGTGTTTGGATATTTTCCTGTTATTTTTCTGTTTTTTATTTCTAGTTTGATTTCATTGTGGTCAGAGAACAAAGTCTGTATAGTTTCAAATATTTTAAATTTGTTTAGAGGTTTTTCCCCCCATGATTCGGGATATGGTCTATTTTGGTACACAGCCCACGGGTACCTGAAAAGAATATGTATTCTACTGTTCTTGGGTAGATTGTTCTGTAAATAATGATTAAAATCTGTTGGCTAAAGATGTTTGAGTCCTTTATGTAATTTTTATAAAATTACTTTGGAAAATAATGAACTAAAAACTAAAGAAATTAATTGTAATAAATCAGAGAGACAAAAATGCATAAACTTAAAACATAAAATGTTCCTATGCCAAAAGAAAAATACTATGCTGAGCAAAGGATAGAGAGAAACATATCATAGAGAAACAAATACAACGACCAACAAACATTAAAAAATTTTAAGCCACACTGGTAGTTAAAAATGGAGATCCCCTCCCCCTCCCCCTCCCCCTCCCCCTCCCCCTCCCTCTTTCTACGGTCTCCCTCTCTTGCTGAGCCTGGACTGTACTGCCATGATCTCGGCTTGCTGCAACCTCCCTGCCTCGGGCTCCCATGATTCTCCTGCTTCGACCTGCCAAGTGCCTGGGATTCCAGGCACACGCCGCCACGCCTGACTGGTTTTTGTATTTTTGGTGGAGACGGGGTTTTGCCGTGTTGCCCGGGCTGGTCTCCAGCTCCTGGCCTCGGGTGGTCTGCCTGCCTCGACCTCCCGAGGTACTGGGATTGCAGACGGAGTCTCGTTCACTTAATGCTCAGTGTTGCCCAGGCTGGAGTGCAGTGGCGTGATCTCGGCTGGCTACAACCTCCACCTCCCAGCCGCCTGCCTTGGCCTCCCAAAGTGCTAAGATTACAGCCTCTGCCCGCCCGCCACCCCGTCTAGGAAGTGAGCAGCGTCTCTGCCTGGCCACCCATCGTCTGGGATGTGAGGAGCCCCTCTGCCCAGCCGCCCCATCTGGGAAGTGAGGAGTGCCTCTGCCCAGCCACCACCCCATCTAGGAAGTGAGGAGCATCTCTGCCTGGCTGCCCATCGTCTGGGTTGTGAGGAGCGCCTCTGCCCAGCCGCCCCGTCTGGGAGGAAGTGAGGAGCACCTCCGCCCGGCTGCCCCGAATGGGAAGTGAGGAGCGCCTCTGCCTGGCCGCCCCATCTGGGAAGTGAGGAGCGCCTCTGCCCGGTCTCCCCCCCATCTAGGAAGTAAGGAGTGTCTCTGCCCGACCGCCCACTGTCTGGGATGTGAGGAGCACCTCTGCCCGGCCGCCCCATCTGGGAAGTGAGGAGCGCCTCTGCCCAGCTGCCCCGTCTGGGATGTGAGGAGCGCCTCTGCCCGGCGGCCCATCGTCTGGGAAGTGGGGAGCGCCTCTGCCCGGCCACCCTGTCTGGGAAGTGAGGAGTGCCTGTGCCTGGCCGCCCCATCTGGGTAGTGAGGAGTGTCTCTGCCTGTCCGCCCATCGTCTGGGAGGTGAGGAGCGCCTCTTCCCAGCCGCCCATCATCTGGGATGTGAGGAGCGCCTCTGCCCAGCCACCCTGTCTGGGAAGTGAGGAGCACCTCTGCATGGCCGCCCCATCTGGGAGGTGTACCCAACAGCTCCGAAGAGACAGCGACCATGGAGAACGGGCCATGATGACGATGGTGGTTTTGTCAAAAAGAAAAGGGGGAAATGTGGGGAAAAGAAAAAGAGATCAGATTGTTACTGTGTCTGTGTAGAAAGAAGCAGACATGGGAGACTCCGTTTTGTTCTGTACTAAGAAAAATTCTTCTGCCTTGGGATGCTGTTAATCTATAACCTTACCCCCAACCCTGTGCTCTCTGAAACATGTGCTGTGTCAACTCAGGGTTAAATGGATTAGGGCGGTGCAAGATGTGCTTTGTTAAACAGATGCTTGAAGGCAGCATGCTCATTAAGAGTCATCACCACTCCCTAATCTCAAGTACCCAGGAACACAAACACTGCAGAAGGCCGTAGGGACCTCTGCCTAGGAAAACCAGAGACTTTTGTTCAAGTGTTTATCTGCTGACCTTCTCTCCACTATTATCCTATGACCCTGCCACATCCCCCTCTCTGAGAAACACCCAAGAATGATCAATAAATACAAAAAAAAAAATGAAGATTAAAATGAAGAAATACCTTTTTTGACTCTTTAATGTAGTGAAGGTAAAAAGGCAATATTAATTCCAGTGATGATTTGTTGAAACTAAACTATTCTTACTGGAGTGAAAATATAAGTGGTGAAAAACTTTTAGTGGTAAATTTGGCCTTTTGTTTATAATTTTTATATGAAAAATTTCTTCAAGAATGTGTTTACTATCTTTCTTTGTTGGATGAGAAAGGAAAAAATAATGAAGTTTATTTATGAACTAAAATGTTATTAAAAAAATACCCGTACACAAAAATATAATATTCACAGTATTAGTTATATTGTTCTTACTAAATAATATAAAACAGTTAAGGCAATAGTAATGAGATACCAGTCCGAGGAGTAATATTTCAAAGAATATTAAAATTCTGGTATAACAAATTTTAGAAGATGGATTGGTGAGGAGCAGACAATGGTCAGAACAAGAACAGGGAATACAGTAAGAGGAGTGAATCCAGGTCAAACCATGTGCTGGACATGGCTCCCTTCCTGCTTCTGCATAGTACACTGATCTTTCTGACCTACAGCTCCCTACTTTGAGCAGGCATCTGTGTAGGGAGCACTGTCACCATCAAGTTACTGTCCAGGAAGAGTCACTAGCATTCTTTCAGTCATCAGTCACATTCATTTAGAGGCCTAAACCAAGAGTGAAAGAATGAGGATTCAAAATATTTTATGCTATATTTTCCCACTGAATCCCATTTCAAGATTGAAAGAGTAGATATTTCATTTGATTGACTTATGAGAATTAATCACTAAACTGTTCTACTCAAGTTTTTGGTGATTGTTTTGTGTTTGTGTTTGGTCTTTAGAAAGAATGATATTTTTATTTTAGCATTACCTTCATGCCAATTAATTTATGTACATTCTTATTATTCCTTTCTTTCATAAGCTTCTCCTATTTGGTTTGACAAGCTTAAATATCATTTGACTCTTACCTCTAACCTACTTAGTAAGCATTTTCTATTTTCCCATTTCCCTATATTTTTAGCTTCCATTTTAAGTTGGCTATTAATACATTATAGATCATATTACTAGTATATATTATTGTTTCAGCCCATTTCCACTGTAAGTTAGTCTTAGATTTACAGAGAAATACATTCTATTTTCCCTGCTGTTCTTTGTTACCCAAGTTTCTTCAGCAGTCTCTTGTTTGCATAAAGCTTGTTTTCTGGTATAATCCTCAGGAAGTGTTTCTGAATACAAGATTCCCAGAGCTCTTGCATGTTTAAATTGTTTTTCTACTGCTTTGAATCTCAAAGAAGTTTGACTGGATATAGAATTCTTTACTTGCATCTTTCTTCCTTGAGCTTCTTGATGGTGGTATTCCACAGTTGTTTAATGAAACAGCTGGTATCATACTGATTTTCTTTCCCTTCTCAGTAATGTGCCTTCTTGCCTGGAGGCCCTTGAGGTATTTTTCCCTTTACATTTATGTCTACTAACTTTGCTTGGGTAGTTTTTAGAACTGACAATTTTGAATCTATTTCCTCAAGTATATAGTGGATTCTTCTCATATGTAGTTAAGTCTCTTATTTAACAGATATTGTTCTTCAGTTACAGTTTTAAATATTAGTTCTCTCATTGTTTTGTTTTCTCTTCACTGATTCTAAGCATGTATTTTAGCTATCTTCCCCCATATTCTATGTCTGTCACAAAATTTATATCAGAGGTTGTGTACTTCCTTTTACTGTATTTTTATTTTCTTAATAATTTACATTCTTATTGTTCATCCCCCTTTGGTACTTTTCATAATATCTACTCTACTTTGGGGTCTTTGCAGTTGAGTTATTCTTTCTGAGATACTTTTGCCTGTTTTGTTTTTTGATTTATAGTAAGAATTTTGTTGACTCACTTTTCACTCTCTTCTAGTTGTTCATTTCCATGCTGAGTTTTGACATTTTAGATACATGATATGCTTTTTTACGTGAAACTGCTTTATTTAATTAAATTTGATTCAATTTTATATCCTGTGTTACAACTTTTCTCTATCTGATGGTTCTCTTTTTAAAATCATTTTGGTTGTTGCACTTTGTTTGACTTTGTAGGGATGTTCATGATGATCTTTTCATGATTTCTAAGTAAGATGCTCCTGAACTAGCAAAAGCAAGCCATGCTGGGGTGGGGGTGGGGGTGGGGGTTTCGTGGCTTCCTTGGTTTCTTAGTTCAACAGTGCTCTCTCCTGCTGCTGCAGTACGTACACTTGCTTTAATTAAAGGACCCTGATTTGCTGTTATTAACTTGGTCAGCTTTATTCTGATTCTTTGAAACTAACTTTATTTAGTAAGGCCTGCTTTCCTCCTTCACTTTATGACCAAGTCTCCAAAGGCGTCTTGTCCTGTCTCCAAGGCACCTCTCTCTTCCTGAGCACTGCACCTTCTCAATGCTGCCGCCCTGCACAGGTGCACTTCCAAGTCATGCCTTTCCATTCCCTGGGGGCCGGTGCTCTGGGCCACCAAGTCTCACACAGATCAGATTTCCAATGTTTCTCCTTCAGGAAGAGGCTCTTTCCCACTGTAGATAGACTCTGAGTGTTACTGTCTATGTTCATCATCATTAGGATCCCACCACGGCTTCCTCCCTCTACTTCTGATTTTCAGGTCTGGTATAGGCTAAGATGTTTACTTCCACATTTTTAGGTAAATGAAGTTTGTCTTATTCTCTGCCTCCAAGTTCTACTCCAGCATGCGTTTTGGATAATTCTATGCATCCTCTGTGCTGGTCTCTATGACTTCTTCCAGGACTTACTGAGAGAGTCTCCCTTTACTTCACAAAATCTGGTAGTTTACCTCTCTCAGGCTTAATTTCTCCATGTAGCCTAAAATTAATCTGAAAACCTCTAATCTAGTAATTTCATTTCTATGAAGTGAAACTAAAGAAAACTTGGAATCTAAATAAAAATGTGTGTACAATGAGACTAAAATATTAATTATCATATTAAATTTGAAATTAAACTGTCCAAATAAAAATAACTTGTTACAGTCATAATCTAGAATATATTTTGCCCTTACAAATCATGTTTGTGATAAATAATGATTAATGTGGGAAAAAGTTCTTGGTAACTGGAAAATTAAGACATGAACTCTTATATCCAATATGACATCACTTTGAGTATTTAGACATGTATACCCATAGATAAAGGGCAAGAGGGAAATATTGACTGCACAGACACTTAATGGAATGGGGTATGATTATGCTTATTTATAGGTTTCTATAAATTTACAAATTCCCTCAAATTCCTTCAATGAACATACCTTTTTATATGCTTCTTTTTGCAATTATATATAAAAAATGTATGGAATTTTTTTAAAGTTTTAAAAATTCAGAAAAGCAACAATAACAAAAATGAGAACACTAACAACCAAATTTTCTTGTATACCAAAAATAATGCATTAGAATGCAACAAAGGAACAAATCTCATAATCTCATTCATAGCAGCAAGTAAAAAGCTTTTAACAAATCAAGCAATAAAGCTAACTGTGCTCATCTATTATCAAAAATTATAAAACTTTCCTGTGAAACATAAAGGAATGCATACATTTTGAATAACTCAATTTATTGGCTGCTTTCATACCTAAAGTTTTGAAATTATAAACATTCAATTTTCCAATATTAATTAATACATTATGCCATGAACTCACATTTATGTGTGTTTATATCTATAAAGCTTCTTGGGAGCAAGCCCCCCCCAAAATCTGGCCATAAACTGGCCCCAAGACTGGCCATAAACAAAATCTCTGCAGCACTGTAACATATTTATAATGGCCCTAACACCCAAGCTGGAAGGTTGTAGGTTTACGGGAATGACGGCAAGGAACACCTGGCCTGCCCAGGGCAGAAAACCACTTAAAGGCATTCTTAGGCCACAAACAATAACATGAGCGATCTATGTCTTAAGGACATGTTCCTGCTGCAGTTAACTAGCCCAACCTATTCCTTTAATTTGGCCCATCCCTTCATTTCCCATAAGGGATACTTTTAGTTAATTTAATATCTATAGAAACAATGCTAATGACTGGTTTATTGTTAATAAATATGTGGGTAAATCTCTGTTCAAGGGTCTCAGCTCTGGAGGCTGTGAAACCCCTGATTTCCCACTTCACACCTCTATATTTCTGTGTGTGTGTCTTTAATTCCTCTAGCGCTGCTGGGTTAGGGTCTCCCCAGTTGAGCTGGTCTCGGCAAGTGGCGTCCATTTCATTCGTGGGGGCTGAAATCCAGGTCAAAGTGTCACCAGAGTGATGGTTGGAATGGAAAACTAGCTGGAGGACACCCAAGTACTCTTAAAGCAATCCCCATGGTGAGTAAGAAGGGGAGCTCGGAAGCATCAGGGTAACAATGGGACAAGTGTGGGATCTGGTTCATTCTGCCTTGGAACTTTTTCACACTGATGACAAGGAAGAACAAGAGTATAGCAAAGTAATAGAAGAGGTTACATAGCATGTTTCTTTGCCAGCTCAAGCTAAAGCAGCAAAGGAAGGAGAGGTTCATTCCTACCCTTCTGCACCCCCTCCTTATTATTTTGAAGAAAATGATCTCCTAGATCTTTCTTTTCCAGAGGACACTGGGCGAAAAGTAATTGCCCCAGTGACTGTTTGAGCAGCACCTCGAGCAATGGTTCTTAGTTCTATTCAGGCAGGAATTCAGCAAGCTAGATGAGATGGTGATTTAGAGGCTTGGCAGTTCCCTGTTAGAATACACCCCCCAGATCAACAGGGAAATATTACAGCTACATTTGAGCCTTTTCCTTTTAAATTACTCAAATAATTTAAACAAGCTATTCATACTAAAAAAGAATGTACAAAAAATCAGTGAGTCAGGCTGCCAGATAGAGGAAAAAAGAAAATTGCTGAGCCTGAAATATGTCCAAAATGTAAAAAAGGAAAATATTAGGCTAATCAGTGTCACTCTAAGTTTGATAAAGATGGGAACCAGATTTTGGAAAATGCCATGAGGGGCCCGTCCTGGGCCCCATTCTAAACTGGGGCATTTCCAGCTCAGGCCATTCCCTCACCCCTGTACAATGTCTGTCCCCTGCCACAACTGGTAGTGCCACAGTAGATTTATGCTACACAAAAGCTGTGAGCCTTCTGCCTGGGGAACCCTCACAAAAGGTCCCAGAAGGAGTCTGTGGACCCTTGCCAGCAGGGACTATAGGATTACTTTTAGGAAGGTCTAGTTTAAGTCTAAAAGGGGTGCAAATACATACAGGAGTCATTGATTCAGATTACAATGGGGAAATTCAAATTGTTATATCTACTTCTGTTCCCTGGAAAGCAGAGCCAGGAGAGCACATAGCACAGCTCCTGATTGTGCCATATGTGGGAATGGGAAAAAATGAAATTAAACAAACAGGAGGATTTGGAAGCATAAATAAATAAGGCAAAGCAGATTACTGGGTAAATCAAATTACTGATAAACATCCTACCTATGAAATAACTATTCAAGGAAAGAAATTTAAAGGATTGGTGGATACAGGAGTGGACATTTCAATCATTTCTCTACAGCACTGGCTGTCTACGTGGCCAATTCAACCCACTCAATTTAACATAGTTGGAGTTGGTAAAGTTGCTGAAGTATATCAAAGTAGTTATATTTTGCATTATGAAAGGCCTGATGGACAACCTGGGACTATTCAACCGATTATAACTTCTGTAACTATACATTTATGGGGAAGAGATTTATTATAACAATGGAGAGCACAAGTTCTAATTCCAGAACAATTATATAGCCCTCAATGTCAACATACAATGCATGAAATGGGGTATGTCCCTGGTATGGGACTAGAAAAAAATTTGCAAGGTTTGAAAGAACCACTTCAAGTGGAAAAACAAAGTTCCCACCAAAGATTAGGAAATAATTTTTGAGGGTGGCCATTGTTAAGCCTCCAGAACCTATACCTTTAAAATGGTTAACAGATAAGCCAATTTGGATAAAACAAAGGCCACTAAGTAAAGAAAAACTGGAAGCTTTAGAGAAATTAGTTGCAGAACAATTAGAAAATGGGCACATAGCTCCAACATTTTCTCCTTGAAATTCTCCAGTTTTTGTAATTAAGAAAAAATCAGGTAAATGGAGAATGTTAACTGACTTAAGAGCCATCAATTCAGTTATACAACCTATGGGAGCATTACAGCCAGGATTGCCTTCTCCTGCTATGATTCCAAAAAGTTGGCCTTTAATAGCCATGGATTTGAAGGACTGTTTCCTTACTATCCCCTTGGCTGAGCAAGACTGTGAATGGTTTGCATTTACTATTCCTGCAGTAAACAACCTGCAGCCTGCTAAGCGTTATCATTGGAAAGTGTTGCCACAGGGCATGTCAAACAGCCCAACAATTTGCCAGACGTATGTGGGGCAAGCAATTGAACGTACTCATAAAAAAATTTCACAGTGTTACATTATTCACCATATGGATGATATACTTTGTGCTGCCCCCACTTGAGAAATATTACTCCAATGTTATGATCACTTGCAAAATTCGATTTCTCATGCTGGTTTAATTATAGCTCCTGACAAAATTCAGACTACTACTCCTTACTCCCACTTGGGGACCTTAGTAAATGACACTACCATTGTGCCACAGAAAGTAACCGTACGTAGGGATCAACTAAAAACATTAAATGACTTTCGAAAATTACTAGGGGTTATTAATTGGATACGACCTGCTCTAGGCATTCCTACCTATGCCATGAGTAATCTGTTTTCTATCCTTAGAGGAAATCCTAGTCTCACTAGCCCTCGGCAATTAAAAAAGGAGGCGGAGGCAGAGTTACAACTGATTGAGAAGCAAGTCCATAAAGCTCAGATAAATAGAATAGATCCAGAGAAGACTCTAGATTTGCTAATTTTTTCAACTCAGCATTCACCTTCTGGTGTTATTGTCCAAGAACAGGACTTAGTAGAGTGGCTTTTTCTTCCACATACTAATTCATGGACTCTAACTCCTTATTTAGATCAAATCGCTACTCTGATAGGGATTGGAAGAACTTGGATGGTTAAATTACATGGATATGATCCTGGAAAAATTATTGTCCCTCTCATGAAGGCATAAATACAGCAAGCTTTTATAAATAGTCTTACTTGGCAAACCCATTTAGCTGACTCTGGGGGTATTCTCAATAATCATTTTCCTAAAACAAAGCTGTTTCAGTTTTTGAAATTAACTAATTGGATTCTCCGTAAAATAACTAAATTTAAACCAATTGAAGGTGCTGAGAATGTTTTTACAGATGGGTCTAGTAATGGTAAAGCTTCTTATTCTGGCTCAAAATTAAAGTTTTCCAGACATCCTGTACCTCAGCTCAAAAAGTGGAGCTTATAGCGGTAATTGAGGTATTGACTGCCTTTGATATGCCTATTAATGTGATTTCTGATTCTTCATATGTTGTTCAGTCCACACAGTTAATTGAAAATGCTCAGTTACAATTTAATACAGATGAACAACTGATGACTTTATTTACCCAATTGCAAACAACAGTTAGAAGTAGAATGCACCCTTTTTACGTGACTCACATTAGAGCTCATACACTCTTCCAGGACCTTTGACTGAAGGAAATCAAATGGCTGATCACCCAGTTGCTACTGCAATATCTAATGGTAGACACTTTCACAATTTAACCCATGTTAATGCCTCTGGTCTCAAATGCAGATACGGCATTACCTGGAAAGAAGCTAAAGCTATTATCCAGTGATGCCCAACTTGCCAAGTGGTACGTTCCTCATCTTTTACAGAAGGAGTTAATCCTCGAAGACTAGAACCTAACTCTGGCAAATGGAGGTCACACATGTTCCCTCATTTGGGAGACTAGCTTATGTACATGTAGTGTGGACACCTTTTCTCACTTTGGGCTACATGCCAAACAGGAGAGTCTTCTGCCTGTGTTAAACATCATCTTTTACAGTGCTTTGCGGTGATGGGCATTCCAGCTTCTATTAAAACAGATAATGCCCCAGGCTGTACTAGCCAAGCTCTAGCTACATTTTTCTCTATGTGGAATATTAAACACATTACTGGTATCCCATACAATTCTCAAGGACAAACCATAGTAGAAAGAATGAATCTCTCCCTAAAACAGCAGTTGCAAAAGCAGAAAGGGGGAGACAGAGAATATGGAACACCACAGATACAACTGAACCTAATATTATTAACTTTAAATTTTTTGAGGCTGCCCAGAGGCCAGATGTTATCAGCAGCTGAACAGCATTGACAGAAACCAGCTGCAAAGACAGAAACAGAACAACAGATTTGGTGAAGAGATCCAATAACAAAAAGTTGGGAAATAGGTAAAATAATAACTTGGGGTAGAGGTTATGCTTGTATTTCTCCAGGCCAAAATCAACAGCCGATTTGGATACCATCAAGACACCTGAAACCTTATCATGAGCCAGATGCCAAAGAAGAGACTCTGAGAGGACCCCGAGGACCCCTCAATAACAGCCATGTCAAGACTGACGCTGAGGAGAACCCCAACTGTCATGAGCAACACCCGTTTAACACAGCCACCCACCTGGGGACAAATCAAGAAGCTGTCAAAGATGGTGGAAGAAAACCTGAGGAAAGTGGGACAGCCAGTCACAGTGAATAATTTAAGGATAGCTATGATAGCAGTTATCACCACTGCCATGAGTATTCCTTCAATAAGGGCTGACATAGAGAACAATTATACTTATTAGGTATATTTATCAATCTTGGCTGGCAATAATGCCTGGATGCAATCACTTTATGACACAGTTACACATGCTTTCTGATCTCAGTATTTACCATAATAAATCTGCTCTTATAATTGAGGCATACCACCCTCAAAAACCTATTTGTAAACAGTTAGAAAAAATGAACGTACTTGTTTAGGAAGATTGCACTGCAGAACAGGCAGAGGTGCTGCACAACAATTCCTATGGAATCATTATTAATTGGTCCCCTAAGGGGATGTTTAGCTTGAATTGCACCCCTCAGTCTGCATGCCACGGCCACACTATGTTCAGATGATCTGAACAAAACGGTCAGATGGTAGAAATGATAAGAAGTACAGCAAAAGTTCCTATTATCTGGAACCATGGTGTTACAGTGGCACCTCAGCCTCAAATGATATGGCCTGCTCTAGGAGCTAAACATAGGGATTTGTGGAAACTATTAAATGCTCTTAATAAGATCAAAATTTGGGAAAGAATAAAAAAGCATCTAGAAGGACACTCTATAAACTTGTTTTTGGATATAGCAAAATTAAAAGAACAAATATTTAAAGCATCCCAGGCACACCTGACCTTAATGCCAGGAACTGGAGTGCTTAAAGGAGCTGCAGACAGATTAGCAGCTAGTAACCCATTAAAATGGATAAAAACACTTGGAAGCTCTGTGATTTCAATGATGACTGTGCTTTTAATCTATGTTGTTTGTCTTTTTATAGTCTGCAGATGCGGATTCTGACTCCTGCGAGAAGTAGCTCACCATGACAAAGCTGCCCTTGCTTTTATCTCTTTGCAAATCAAAGAAGGGAGACGTGTTGGAAGCAAGCCCCCCTAAAATCTGGCCATAAACTGGCCCCCAAACTGGCCATAAACAAAATCTCTGCAGCACTGTAACATATTCATAATGGCCCTAACGCCCAAGCTGGAAGGTCGTGGGTTTATGGGAATGAGGGCAAGGAACACCTGTCCCACTCAGGGTGGAAAACCGCTTAAAGGCATTCTTAAGCCACAAACAATAGCATAAGCGATCTGTCTTAAGGGCGTGTTCCTGCTGCAGTTAACTCACACAACCTAGTCCTTTAATTCAGCCCATCCCTTCATTTCCCATAAGGGATACTTTTAGTTAATTTAATATCTATATGAACAATGCTAATGACTGGTTTGCTGTTAATAAATATGTGGGCAAATCTCTGTTCACGGGTCTCAGCTCTGGAGGCTGTGAGACCCCTGATTTCCCACTTCACACCTCTATATTTCTGTGTGTGTGTCTTTAATTCCTCTAGTGCCACTGAGTTAGGGTCTCCCCAACCGAGCTGGTCTCAGCAAAGCTAAAGTCACAAATGGAAGATTCTGTAAGAGAGTAAAGCTCAGAAAAATAAGAACACAGGGAGGAAACAGCCCTTTCTCATAACTGCACTTATTCTATAGCTTCAATAATTAAAAGTGCTGTTGACATAAATGAACATGGATGGAAATAAAGGAAAATGAGAGAAAAAAGAATAAATATAAAATTTTCATCATTATAAGGATAGTATTCCAAATCAGTGGGGGAAGTGTGTTGTGTAGTGTAAATAATTTGGAAGCAAATGGATATTTATTCAGAAAAGTAAAACTAAAGGTAGGTTACAGGTTCCTAGTTTTGTTTGTTTGTTTGTTTCTTTCTTTCTTTTGAGATGGAGTCTCACTCTGTCACCCAGGCTGGAGTGCAGTGGCATGATCTCAGCTCACTGCAACCTTCACCTCCCAGGTTCAAGTGATTCTTCTGACTCAGCCTCCCAAGTAGCTGGGACTACAGGCATGTGCCACCCTGCTCGGCTAACTTTTGTATTTTTAGTAGAGATGGGTTTCACAATATTGGCCAGGCTGGTTTCGAACTCCTGGCCTCATGATCCGTCCACCTCAGCCTCCCAAAGTGCTGAGATTACAGGCGTGAGCCACCACACCTGGCCCAGGCTTCTGGTTTTTAAGTAGTGGAGGAAAGATAGTGTTTCTCACTTCTTTTCTTACAAATTTCAACTTGGAAAAAAAAAAAGAAGAGAATGAGAAACAGAAATCCAAGCTGTATGTTCAATGACACAAACTGTGTCTTCAGTTATCCCATTTTGCAAAATAGAAGAATGTGCTGCCAGGTGCAGTGAAGATCAGGCTTGAGTGTGGGAAGATCCTGAGGGTGAAGGCTCTAATGCATCTCAGACATGAGAATGGAGATGAGACATCAGGTGTCAGTGGGGGTGTCACCTGGGAGCCCCATGCCTCTTGGTAGTATTACAGTGATGAAGAGAATGTCACTGCAGATGGCATTAGGCTGACTTCTAATCTGCACTAAGCCACCAGTCTATACTGATGAGGCTGCTGGGCCTCCAAACTTGTGACCTCTGCCAGCTGCCCCAACATGAGAATGAAGAGGAGGGAAGGAAGCCTCTCTCCAAGGAAGATGAGAGCACCAAGAAGTGTTCTGGGAGAAACATTTGGAGGGAGTGTGAAAAGGAGAATGTGGGAAGAAAAAAGGCTACATCTCTAAAGCTAAAAGAAAATATTTTAAAATAAATGCTATAAACACATACTGTATATACAGTTAAGACATTTTATCCTAAATTTGATAATATTAAATTCTACACTCCAATTTGGAAATTAAAACAGAATTTAAGTGATATGATTTGGCTCTGTGTCCCCACCCAAATCTCACCTTGAATCATAATAATCCCATGTCAAGGGTGGGACCAGGTGGAAATAATTGAATGACGGGGGTGGTTTCCCTCATATTGTTCTCATGACAGTGAGTCACTTATCATAAGATCTGATAGTTTTATAAGGGGAGTCCCCCCTTTGCTTGACTCTCATTCTCTCTTCTGCCACCCTGTAAAGAGGTGTCTTCTGCCATGATTATAAGTTTCCTGAGGCTTCCCCAGCCATGCAGTACTTTAAGACAATTAAAACTATTTTTTAATAAATTACCCAGTCTTGAGAATTTCTTCATAGCAGCATGAGAACAGACTAATACAGTAAATTGGTACCAGTAGAGTGGGGTGCTGCTATAACAATACCTGAAAATGTGGAAGTGACTTTGGAACTGGGTAATAGGCAGAGGTTGGAAGAGTTTGGAGGGCTCAGAAGAAGATAGTGCCGAGACCAGCTCGGGTGGGGAGACCCTAACCCAGCAGCACTAGAGGAATTAAAGACACACACACAGAAATATAGAGGTGTGAAGTGGGAAATCAGGGGTCTCACAGCCTTCAGAGCTTAGAGCCTCAAACAGAGATTTACCCATGTATTTATTAACAGTAAACCAGTCATTAGCATTGTTTCTATAGATATTAAATTAACTAAAAGTATCTCTTATGGGAAACAAAGGGATGGGCTGAATTAAAGGACTAGGTTGGGCTAGTTAACTGCAGCAGGAGCATGTTCTTAAGGCACAGATCACTCATGCTATTGTTTGTGTCTTAAGAATGCCTTTAAGCGTTTCTCCCCCCTGGGCAGGCCAGGTATTCCTTGCCCTCATTCCCATAAGCCCACAACCTTCCAGCTTGGGCTTTAGGGCCATTATGAATATGTTACAGTGCTGCAGAGATTTTGTTTATGGCCAGTTTGGGGGCCAGTTTATAGCCAGATTCTGGGGTGCCTGCTCCCACCATAGGAGGATGTGAGAAACTTTGGAACTTTCATAGAGACTTGTTGAATGGCTTTGACCAAAATGCTCGTAGCGATATGGACAATGAAGTCCAGGCTGAGGTAGTCTCAAATGGAGATAAGGAACTTGTTGGGAACTGGAATAAAGGTGATCCTTGTTATGTTTTAGCAAAGAGGCTGGCAACATTTTTCCCATGCCCTAGAGATCTGTGGAACTTTGAACTTGAGAGAGATAATTTAGGGTATCTGATGGAAGAAATTTCTAAGTGGCAAAGCATTCAAGAGGAAGGAGAGCATAAAAGTTTGGACAATTTGCAGTCTGATGATGCAATAGAAAATAAAAACACATTTTCTGAGGAGAAATTCAAGTTGGTTGCTAACTAACGAGAAGCCAAATGTTAATCACCAGGACAATGGAGAAAATGTCACCAGGGCATGTCTGAGACCTTCACAGCAGCCCCTCCCATCACAGGCCCAGAGGCCTAGTGGGGAACAAAAAATTCGTGGGCCAGACCCAGAGCCTCCCTGTTCTGTGAAGCCTTGGGACTTGGTGCCCTGCATCCCAGCTACATCAGCTCCAGCCATGGCTAAAAGGAGCCAAGGTACACCTCGGGTCATTGCTTTACAGGGTGTAAGCTCCAAGCCTTGGCAGCTTACACATAGTGTTGGGCTTGCCGGTGCACAGAAGTGAGGAATTGAGGTTGGGGATCCTCTGCCTAGATTTCAGAGGATGTAGAGAAACACCTGGGTGTCCAGGCAGAAGTCTGCTGCAAGAGTGGAGCCCTCATGGAGAACCTCTGCTAGGGCAGTGCAGAAGGGAAATCTGGGGTTGGAGTCCCCCACACAGAGTCCCCACTGGGACACTGCCTAGTGGAGCTGTGAGAAGAGGGCAACCATCCTTCAGAACCCAGAATGTTAGATCCACCAACAGCTTGCACCATGCTCCTGGAAAAGCCACAGACAATTAACACCAGCCCATGAAAGCAGCCAGGAGGGGAACTGTTCCCTGCAAAGTCACAGGGGAGAAGCTGTCCAAAACCATGGGAACCCACATCTTGCATCAGCATGACCTGGATGTGAGACATGGAGTGAAAGGAAATAATTAGTAACGTTTAAAATTTAATGATTGCCCTATTGGATTTTGGACTTGAATGGGGCCTGTAGCCCCTTCGTTTTGACCAATTTCTCCCATTTAGAGTGGGTGTATTTTTTCAATGCCTGTACCCCAATTGTATCTAGGAAGTCACTAACTTGCTTTTGATTTTACAGGCTCATAGGCAGAAGGGACTAGCCTTGTCTTAGATAAGACTTTGGACCTGGACTTTTGGATTAGTGCTGGAATGAGTTAAGACTTTGGGGGACTGTTGGAAGGGCATAATTATGTTTTGAAATGTGAGGACATGAGATTTGGGAAGAGCCACGAGTGGAATAATATGATTTGGCTCTGTGTCCCTACCCAAATCTGGGATTTGAATTGTAAGAACCCCCACATGTCAAGGGCAGACCTAGGTAGAGATAATTGAATCATAGGAGTGGTTTCCCCCAAACTGTTCTTGTGATAGTGAGTTCTCACAAGATCTGATGGTTTTATAAGGGGTTTCCCCCCTTCACACAGCTCTTATTCTCTCTCTTGCCAACCTGTGGGGTGGTGCCTTTTGTCATGATTGTAAGTTTCCTGAGGCCTCCCCAGCCATGTAGAACTGTGAGTCAATTAAACCTCCTTTCTTTATAAATTACACAATCTCAGGTATTTATTTATGGCAGCATGAGAACAAACAATACAATAACACAGATCACTGAAGCTTAAAACTTATTAAAACATGTCCTTATAAATGTTTTATTTCTGAAACAGGGTTAACCAGACTTCCTTCTTGTGCTAGCTAACCAACTATTGGACTCTACTGCCAGGACTGATGTCTGAGCACTAACCCAACTGTGGGACTTGACCCCCCAGAGCCGACTTCCATGCACTAACCCAGCTGTAGGACTCACCTTCCAGAGCTGACTTCTATGCACTAACAAAGCTGTGGGATTCACCCCCTAGAGCTGACTTGCATGCACTAACCCAACTGTGGGGCTCACTCCCCGGAGCTGACTTTCAGGCACTAACCCAGCTGTGAGACTCACACCCTAGAGCTAACTTCTATGCACTAACCCAACTGTGGGACTAGCTCACCAGCACTACCTTCTGTGCACTAACCCTCCTAGATGTAAATCAAAGCATTGGGGTCCACATCCCTAGCACAGGCATCCCTGAGTGTGATTCAGATGAGTGTGAGGTGCTGCTTTCTGAATCATTTGGTACTTTAGTAGGGAAAAGAGGGAAAGTTTTCTTTGGGTACATCTTCCCAGTAAGTAACATCTCCTCTTCCACTGGGAAAATTTTCAAGATATCAGGCAACATTAATCTCACATATTTAGTATTTGCCCAGATCTGACTAGGCAGGCATGGAGTAAATGCCCTAAAACAGGTGTAATCTGATTTCCCCAATGTACTTTTAGAAAGGCTAAAGATTTTATGAGCAATTTGGACTACCAAGGTGTAGCTTCTTAAAATATTCAGAAAACCAAAATAAACAAGGGAGTCAAATCTTCCAGATGAGGAATATGGTAATAGCTATGTGAATACAGATAGATTTTCTTTAAAGGTCTTAGTACTCAAGGTGTGGCCCATGGGTCAGCAACATCGCCACAGACTGGGAGCTAGTTAGAAATGCAGGATCCAAGAAGTGGTAAATGGTGCAAAATTCATGAGTATCATTGGTAGAAAGAAAATTTCTTCAAAAGTAATGGACAAATCTCTTAAGGTTAATTGGTTTCCAAAATTGGAATTCAAGATATGTGAGTTCAGTGCTCTTTCTATTTTACCAAGCTATTTTTGCAAATAATGTCAACCAATTACTAAAAAAGGAAGTCTTAAATATTTATACCTTAAAGTAGAATTGATTTTTGAAAATACCAATGGTTCCAAACTAATTTTTAATAATCTGTTTTCAAGCTCTCCTTTACTTTTAAATACTAAGATCTCTACTAATGAAAATAAGCACTTATTTGAAGTTTAAAAATTTCCTTAGTTTCACTTTTGTTTCTTTTTAAAATTAAATGTTATTAAAATTCAATGTATATTCTCATTTAAAAAATAGAATGCAACATTAATTTATGTATGACTAAAAAGGGAAAACTGTTATTCAAATAACAGTTTCATTATAACTCAGGATTTTTATTTTACACTTACAGAAAGACCTCTTTTAGATAAGTTTTTATCATAAATCATTTTTGTATGTACATAAGAAGGAAAATAATATGAGCAAAATGAATGATTGATGTATTTCCAAATTTCTTTATCTTTAAATGTAAATTCTTCTGTAATATTTCAGATAATAGTGTTGATATCCTCATATTTCCCCACCACACAGTATGGTCCTTTGTGCCTTCAAGAGCATTGATCATGCAGCATCTCATAAAAGTGTTTCACTATCCTCTCTGGGAGCTTTTTTCAAATCACTAATATCTTTCTGCAAGTTTTGATGTTCTCACCTTCTTGATCCTAACAAACAACAACTGGGACTCATATTCCTTCCTCAAAAGTTTCTTAAAAGTTTTGGTGATGGACACACTGCTCCTGATTTAGGTCATCAGGAAAAAGAATAAGCTCTGCACACCAATCAGAGCTTATTGGCTCTGGCATCATAGACCCGTCAAATGCAAGGTATGTCCTGACTTCAAAGATGGAAAAGTATGAAAAACTATACTTATACCACTTCTTTCTCCCTTCTTTTCTCGTCTTTTCCCTTTTTCCTTCCTTTTTTCCTTTTTATAAAAACCATTCTTTCATTCTAACTTCTTTGCCCCCTCACCTTAACTCTGCACAAAAAAACAGCTCAATGAGAATAACAAAGAAGTAATTTAAACAGGTAATAAGCATTGACTTTTAAAATTTGCTTCACATTTTGATAAAATAGTAGCTTGAAGAATTCAATAATAAAGAAAGTGCAGCAAGCCTCTCATTCCAGAATAGAGCTGCACTTGGAAGTCTTTAAAAACATGTGTAAGTTATATTATTTAGAATCCGTAGGAACTTATGAACTCATAAAAGTAGATAAAAGTGGTATTCAAATAACCATGCCTCCATATAGGAGGTACCTGGTTTTTATTTCTTCATGTTTTCAATTGCAGGAATTAACACATAGTGGGATATATCATTTATATATATGCAGTTTGACATAATGAGAGACTAGAAGATGATAACATTTTAGCAATACAAGAAAATAGAAAACACTTTTTTATTTTCTTGTTGCATAACCCTCAGCTCCATTTTCTTTTGACATAAAGTTCCTTTCCTGGTAAATTTTCTGCATATTCAAACAATATCACAATACAAATAAATACAAGAAAAGTAGCTTAATGTTTGACTTAATATGCAATTTGGTTTGTTTGTGTTAAAAAGAAAGATATATTGGTATCTCAGTAATTATAAAATCTTAGTAACTATTAGTTGGATGATCACTAAGATAAGCTTTCTAATTTTACTTCTTAAAAATTTAACACAAAAATTAAAATTGAATTTTAGAAAATTAAAGTTCTTTACAATTGATACCATGCTTGTTTTTTCACATATTGGATAAAAGCACATAAATTACAAAGTAAATTTCAGTTGTTTCTATTTATATGGGTATGTTTGTATGTGCCCATTTCAATGGCTGAATACTTATTAGCTTACATGGTCATGAAAGATGGCAGTGGCTTCCATATTCTGTCCTGTGATGTGAAGGGTATCTTTACATTTTTGGTGAATCTAGACTTTGGTAGTCATGTTTACTTAAATGAAGAAATTATCTGCGTACGAATAATAAAAATTATTTAATTCTTATATATACAAAGTGTTCTCAGTTTTAAGAAAAAAAGATGATCATTTGGAAATAAAGTAATATCTAATCACTAAGTCCACAAAGAATGCATCTGAAAATCCAATAAAATAGTAAATATGTTGCTAACATCCATCAACACAGAAGATGTGTGCCTAACAAACTAGGTTGTTTTTTTCAGTGACACAGATGTGAACTCAAGGGGAAAAAAAAAGAAATTAGAAACAAAAATTGGAGAATGGAATAATGGTAGATAACAAATTACAACTTTTTCTAGAATTATTATGTAGCCTTATACATGTCTCATAGCATATATTTGAAGTAAGTTTATGTCAGGGCATGAGATGACTAGGTAGTTTCAGAGCCTGGTTACTGTGCTAACATGGCAGTTCCTTAGTCTCACTCAACTCTAGTTTCTTTGTCTATAAAACAGAAATATTAGTGCCTATTCTTAAAATATTTGTGAGGTTTGTGTGAATCACAACTGCAGTAAATCAACTTACCGTAGATTTATTGTGTAAGTCAGTCTACAGTACCTGGTATGTTCAAAAGTAGCAGCACTTACGAGTAGTAGTAGTAAAACTAATACTACCATTGAAATGATACTTTCACTTCAGGAAATGTATAAGGGATGACTGTTATGAGTTGTTGGGGCTCAAAACATGATACCCCAAAATACAGCACTTTGACATGCTTAACTAAAAGAAGCAGCCTCCAAGTCTCTCTGACCTTCCTCTTCCCCCCTCCTGTCTCTCCATCCTCTGTCTCCCACAAAGCAAAGGATAAGGCTATTCTCCGAAGTTCCCTTATCTATCTGGAAGCCAGATCCCCAAGGAGGCACACAATTGCCTTTGATCCTTCCCATGAAATTTTATTAACCAGAGAAGATAAAACTCATAACATAGAGGAGGAGATTGAAAATTAAACACCATACCTGGAGTCCGGACAAGCTTTGTCCCAAATCATTGCTGGTTCTCAGTCCCATCGAGCTTACAAAGATATCATTTACAAGCTATTTTGTCTCCATGTTCATTCAATTCCCCTAAAAATCATTTACTATCCCTGAAAATACATTTCTCCCATCTCCTCTTCCCTTTGAAGAAGGGCATATAAGCATCTGAACCTCACTAGATTATTGAGTAATCATCCTCCTGCACTTCCCCCTTGCTTATGTACCTTAGATAAATGTGTTTGTCTTTTTCTCCTATTAATCCACGTATTGTCAGTTTATTTTCAAGGAATCCACAGAGGGCAGAAGGGAAGCTTTCCCTTGGCCACTACAGTGTCAAACATATTCTTGTTCATGCCAGAATTCCTTCTTTTGGGGTTCAAGTTAAACCTCAGGGATCTACTACATTATAGTCTAATTCAAGACATCAAAGAATTTTTTGAAAAAGATTCTTTACATTTAAAATGTTAAATTATGATCTTCAATACTTTCTAAATTTGACCTCAGACCACCACTAAAGCCCATATTTCATAATAGAAGGAGAAAAGAAAGGTTGCCTTCTTTTTCTAATGTGAGTGGTCTACAACATTGACAACTTATCAATATTGATAACTATCATTGTTTCAGACTACTCACAACTTCAATGTTTTATTCCCAAAACTACTCTATCCAAATTGCAGGTAGTGGACCAGGAATGTATAGGTCCTAAAGAAAAGGACCATAATGACGCAAAATGTAAGGAAGATGTTCTAAAGTAATTAGCTAGAAATACAAAGGGAACACAAGAAAAGCCATTATGCAAATAGACAGTCATTCAAAAACTAGTCTTCTGGAAAAAGTATAAGATCCATGGTGTGGATTTCAAAGAGGGCGCTTCTTTTTAAAATCCTCTACCCTTCAAGCTAAGTCTTCAATTTATTATAATTCATTTCTGAAATCTCTGTTTAAGATGCATTTTAAGAAGGGGGGTCTAGGTACAGAAATATAAGTATTCTGCTACAAAGAAGCATATAGTCCCTGAATTAGCTTCTGCTACAGTAAAAAACAAACTCAGAATCTCAGTCCCTTGCCCACACATTAATTTCTTGTTCATGTTATCTAAACATGGTGTGTTGGTCTGAACAGTTGATCACATTTCTTCTTACGCCAGAACCCAGGCTGAATGAACTGCCCTGCCTGGGGTATGTTGCTTTGCCAGCAGTCAGCAAAGGCACAAAAATTCTCAGCTGATTCCCACATGGCATCCAAAGCTTCAAGGCAGAGGTGGCAGAGGTCACATCCATTCTCATTTTACTTTCTGAAGTGTATCACATGGCCAAGCCCAATGCGGGTGAGTTAGGAAGTTACACTTCCTCCTGTGGGAGGTGAGAATAAGTATGTGTTTAAACAAAACAAAACAAAACAAAACAAAACAAAACACATTTACCCAAAAATCGTGGGGAAAAAATGAAGATGCCACTAAAAGGCCAAAGTAAGAAACTAACAATGTAGACTGTACTTAATTATCTAGGAAGATTTCACAAAAAGAGAACTTAACACGTTGAAAACTAATGAATCATCTTCTTAGCCTCCAGCTCTATCAATCCATAAATAATGCCAATTCATACAAAATCTTGTATATCTACCACTTCTCCTTGATTCCTACAGCCACACTCCTGGTCTAGGCTCACAGTACCTCTTGCCTGGTCCTCTAGAATAGTCTTAATGCTTCTACTTGGCCTCCCTCCAGGTGATCATCCTATTGTTGCCCTAGTAATTTCTCCATTAAGAACTCTGAAAATGTCTTTCACTGACTCAAAATTCTTCAGAATCCCCCCATTGCTTACTGTTTAAGATCAAAAATCCTTGGCATTAAAGTGCTTCATGCCTTGGCTCCTGCCACCCAGTCCAGCCTCACTGTTTTCACTTGCTTCCACTCACATTTCCTGTTCCAGGGGCCTGAACCATACCTCATGTTCCCACCTCCTTATCCCTGCTCCTGATTACCCATGCTCCTTGATTAGAATGACCTGCCTTCTTTTTGTTTGTATGAACTCTTGTTCACCTTCCATGTTTCAACTCAAATAACACCTGCTCTCTGAGGTTGTCCTTATTCTCTGAGACAAAACAGGTGCTTGTTTATCTATATTCCTACTGAATTCCATATATATCATTTTAATATATTATTTTATCATCAGCCCAAGTTTATTTGGATTTACTCTTTACTGCCCATTGGATTCCTTTACTGTTCCTTTATTGTTTTATTATATAGTCATAAATGTTATCATTACATTCTCCTCATGTCTTCCTCTGAGAACTCCCATCCGAATTTACCTTTGAAAGAAAAAATTAGTCTCATTTGTTCTTGATCAATATCTTTGTTTGTGATGTAATTGACAGCCATCTTTAAGAAAGAAATTAGCCTTTCTAATCAAATTCTCAAGCAATTTTTTTTTTTGAGATGGAGTCTTATTTTATTTTATTTTTTTGAGACAGAGTCTTGCCCTGTCACCCAGGCTGGAGTGCAGTAGTGCGATCTCGCTCACTGCAACCTCCGCCACCTGGGTTCAAGTGATTCTCCTGCCCTAGCCTCCCAAGTAGCTGGGATTACAGGTGCGAGCCTCCACGCCCAGGTAATTTTTGCATTTTTAGTAGAGACGGGGTTTCACCATGTTGGTCAGGCTGGTCTCAAACTTCTGACCTCGTGATCCACCCGCCTCGGCCTCCGAAAGTGCTGGGATTACAGGATGAGCCACCGCGCTCGGCCTCAAGCAATTTTTAACATAGCTATATGTGGTTTAATTGCTTGGCATTATAGTACCAGCAGTAGGGAGAGGCATCATGAAATAGAAATTATATCTGGGAGTGAGGTGAGCTTGAAGTATGCAGGAAGAAGTTATTTCTGGTGGCTGACAGGTAATCAAGAGTTTACATGTATTTACATAATGCAGGTATTTACATATTGCAGGTCAGAGATATCATTATAGCTTCATAAAGCAAATGAAATTTATATGTATATTGAAAGAGTGAGTTTATTCCAAAGAACACCCTTTTGGAATTTTCCTTAAATTTCTGAATAAACACTTTAAAATTAAAATAAAATGTGTCCTGTGTTTTTTGTTTTCTGTAAAAATGGTAATATTTAAAATAGCAATTCTGTAAAATTCTATAAAAATAGTAATATTTTTACAGAAAATATTACTACACATTTTGGAAAGAAGTTCAACTATCTGCTAACTAATGTACTACGGTTGAAAAAGACTGTTGTCTTGGTCTGTTTTGTGGGGCTGTCACGAAATATCTGAGACTAGGTAAATTATAATGAGCAGAAATACATTTTTTCACAGTTCTGGAGGTTGGAAGCCAAATATCAAGGCGCAGGAGGTTCCATGTCTGGTAGAGACCCATTTGTCACTGATGATACCACCCAGTTTTTCTCACGTGATGGAGGGAGCAGAAAGGGCAGAAAGGACAAAAGGGAAAGAACTCTGTGTCTTCATATGGAAAAGGTGGAAGGGGATGAACCCAGTCTCTGGGGCCCATGGATGGAGGGTCCAGATCCATCCATGAGGGCTAGAGCCTTACAAGTTAATCCTCACTTAAAGGCCCCATATCTACACACTATCGTATTGGCAATTAAGTGTCAACATATGAATTTTGGGGACACATTTGGACCATAGCAAGTATTCCTGTATTTTTCTGTCCTTCGCTGATGTGATAACCAAAGTGTCTGAGGACTGAGATGCCTTCTATCTCCCCAGTGGCCATCTCCATTCCTGAGTTGGATGGGAATCCTGCAAAAGGCGTCTATTGTGGATGGGGCATAGGTGAGACAGCTCTTGGGATGGCACCATTGGCATTTCTCATGTCCCTCCCAGTTTCTCTCTCCTTGGTGAAACAGACATGCATGTCTCTCCACTAAAAGTCTAAAGAAAGACAAAAGGGTGCCATCTGGAGCTGTCTGGCTATCCTTGGTCACGTGGCATCAATGATTTTATTAATCTTCCACTCTTTATGATTTCCCTCTTTTCATTTCCTACCCATAAAATTAATTTCATCAGTGTCTCAGAGCTGATAAGATTCCCTGACACTTGCTCATGCTAAACAAAGTCATATGAGACCGATTGACAGAACCAACTTGTAATTTAAATTTCAAATTGTAATTATTAGGCAGACTAAACATTTGTGTCATTTCAACCAGTGCATACTTTCCCAAAGGGAAGTAAATTTTCACGAGGTTGTACCATAAACATAACTTTGATGGAGGACTTAAATTATATTAATAAAATTTAATATCATTAGTCTCCAATAGCTTTGTGCATCTCTTTAAAATATAAACCTTCCTTAAACGCAGACTGAATACTTTAAGTAACCTGGCAGGGCACTTTTTCTCCAATAAAGGGTCTGGAGAGCCATGATTAACTTTTGCCACTATAATTCTCCATTTGTCAGTCTTCTATTACTTAATGACTTCCATTTCTATTGACACGGCCTTTCTTTAGATAAGTCATTAATGACTTGAGCTGAAAAACATGTTCTACTGACATTACATATGTAATATGCATAAATTTTTAAATTCCCTTTTCAGTGGCCAATACTATTTCTAAGTACAGTCCATGCAGGAGAGAGTGAAGAACTTATCTCTTTCTATAGCTCTAGCCCATTGGTTTTCTCATCCCTGAGGCTACACACAACAAAGTTTCTTCTCAATTGACACCATTGCAGGTGTGCAAGGATGGCTCTGCTGATTCTCCTGAGCCAGTCTGAACACCTCTCAGCATCATATGCTCCTCTCTAGCTGCAAGGCTGCAATCCCCATACCATCCTTTGTATGTTCTCCAGTTTATCTATATCCTGCTTAAAGAATAATATTCAGAATGAGCAATATAAGCCAAGTGCGAAAAAAGAGCAGGAGTGCGTGTCTGTACTCCCTTCTCTCTTCTTCACTCAGTCATTCATTCATTCAGCCAACTCAGATTGGTGCCATGCTGTTCACTGACAACAGAAAGATAAATGACAAAGGTGGAGATTTAGACATGTACATATGTTGCAACAGTAGCATTCAGTTTCTTATCTCTTCCCCGGGAATGAGCTCATTCTAGGAGAGCGAGAGTCTCATTCCAGGGGAGGCAATAAGAAAACCCTCTCAAAGGAGGTGATGGTTGAGTTGTTTATTGAAAGATGACAATGGATTTTCAAATTAGAGAAAGACTTGAGAAACGGGAAAGGCATCCAGGTATGATTGGGAAATACACAGACTCCAAAAGACAGGAAGGGGATATGGATCCACAGAGCCACAGGACGTCAGAACAGACTAACCAGAAAGCAGGAGCTTAGAACAAGGAACTCTGCAGGTCTTGCTCCCTGGTTCCCTATCATTGAAAGCACCAGAGAGGCCTCACTGGAATCTAAACAAAGGAGTAGCGTTTCCTGATGGTAGATAAACTATCAGGTAAGTAAGTCCAATGAGTGTCTGCAGAGAAGAAAATGAAAAACCCCTAAGGGCAGGGGTGGAGACGCATTAGAAGCTTGGAGAGTAGCATCAGTGAGCCACGATGAGGCGTGAATTCAGGCAGGGCTTGCAGTAAGTTGGTGGTACAATGTACTGAACTTAGAGCCTGAGTTATTGTGGATGCTGAGAGGAAGCGTTCCACGATAATTCCATGTTTCTGCCTTGAGTAATTAAAAGACTGGAGTTGCTCTGTAGGGAGGCAGAAAGCTCAGCAGGTAGCACGGGTTGGAAGAAGAGAAGCAGCTGAGTTTTAGGCAAAAAGAGAAATTATTCGAAAAAAAATCAAGTATATTTTAGAAGATAATGTTAAAAGCAGTGTCAATAATTTCTTATATAAAACATATTTATAGAAGTAAGATGTGGGAAGCACCTAGTGAATAAAATCAGATAACTTATGAAAACTCAGAAACCATTGTGTAGACTTTATATACAGCATATAAGTCTGAAGGACTTTCCATGTAAAAATTGAATTTCCATTCTTAGAAGTTAAGAGCTTTCTTATAAAGGTTTAAGTATGAATATTTTTATGTAGATTTTGCTTTAGGTAGGTTTCTTCTTGATCAGACTAATTTGGGAAAAATAATATTTGAACATATTAATAATTGAGAGCGCTTTAGGGTTTTTTCATGAGAAGGAACTGAATTACCGAGGTTTTAACATATTTGATAAGCATCCTCAAGTGTCCTGGTTTCAGCTACCTCTCCCTTCAGAAGTGTTGCTTCATGTAGACACTTGTTTTCTATCGTTTCTATAGATACGGAAGACTCAGTTTTCAGTATCTATAGTCTTCAGATACTGAAAACTCAGTTTTCTATCATTTCAATTACAAAACTCTTTGAAAAAATAAAATTTCATCTCGTCATTTCAAACTCAGGCTTATACATGGAGATTGTTAACAAGGCTTCTTCAGTAAAATGATCCTTCCATCTTTTGTTCTCAAATGCTAATGTAAACAAAACAGTTGATTATTTTATATCCATTACAATCTTGACATTCATGGAAGGGAAGACTGCCTCTAGGGATGAAAGAAGAGCAAAATAAGAAATATCACAGATGGGTCAGGGGGAGCGCTGCTGTTGTTGTTGGAGAAGCAGCCAGAGCCAGGCCCTGTGGCGGGTGTCTCGGGGGTGGCCCTCCTGGAGTGGAAGGCCATGCAGCACCCCGGACTTCCCAACTGCACCAGCCGCGGTGTTCCAGAGCCTGGGCAGGAGCACCACGCGAACTGAGAGGCCGCTCCCTGGGGAAGGCCAGCAGGTGTGGTATTTTCATGAGGAACTGTGGAACACAGCGGCCAATAGATCCTCTGTTATATATTTAATTTTTCAATCATGATTGGCACTTGTGGAAGCACTCTAAGAAGTAAGTGAGTAGGAGACAAACACATGGCCTAAG